>NC_000007.14:49331151-49634181 GCF_000001405.40 Homo sapiens
TCTGAAGTTGGGCATATATATATATGCCCACACACACACATATATATACACACACACACATATATATATAGCGTTTATATACATATATATATATGTTGTATCTTCCTGTTGAGTTGACCCATATTTTATTATGTGATGATCTTCTTTGTCTCTGAGAGTGTAAATTAGTTCCACCATTGTGGAAGACAGTGTGGTGATTCCTCAAGGATCTAGAACCGGAAATTCCATTTAACCCAGCAATCTCATTACTGGGTATATACCCAAAGAACTATAAACCATTCTACTATAAAGACACATGCACACATATTTAATAGTGTTTATTGCAGCACCATTACAATAGCAAAGACTTGGAACCAACCCAAATGCCCATCGATGATAGACTGGATAAAGAAAATGTGGCACATATACACCATGGAATACTATGCCACCATAGTGGCATAAAAAAGAATGAGTTCATGTCCTTTGCAAGGACATAGATGAAGCTGGAAACCACCATCTTCAGCAAGCTAACACAGGAACAGAAAACCAAACACCTCATGTTCTCACTCGTAAGTGCGAGTTGAACAATGAGAACACGTGGAACCAGGGAGGGGAACATCACACATGGGGGCCTGTCGGGGGGTGAGGGGAAAGGGGAGGGAGAGAATTAGGACAAATACCTAATGCATGCAAGGTTTAAAATGTAAATGATGGGTTGCTAGGTACAGCAAACCACCATGGCACATGTATAACTATGTAACAAACCTGCACGCTCTGCACATGTATCTCAGAACTTAAAGTAAAAGTTTAAAAAGGGAGTAGTTTACTTAAAGTCTACTTTTTCTGATGCAAGTGTAACCCTTCCTGCTTTATTTTGGTTGTCATGTGCATGAAATATGTTTTACCATACCTTCACTTTTAGATTGTGTGTGTCCTTGAATGAATAGTGTTTTTCTTTTAAACGGCATATAGTTGGATCTTGATTTTTAAAAATCCATTTAGCTTCTCTGTTGTTTTTATTCAGGACTTAGTGCAATTGCATTTAAGTAATTATTGCTTAGAAATAATTTACTGTTGTCATTTTGTTAATGGCTTTCTGTTTGTCTTGTTCTTTTGCCTCTTTTTTCTCATGCTGCCTCCTTTGTCTTTCATGTTTTTATTAATTGGTCTCACTCCTTATTCTTTTTTCTCTTGGATAACTTCATATGGTTTTTCTTTCTGGTTACTAAAGGGACTTACATAAAATATGTTACAGTTATAATTGTCTTTTTTTTAGAGGATAATGTCTACCTACCTTCCCGTGTATCTATCTTCCCGTGCCAGCATCCTCTTTATACCTTTTCTCCCCCCCACAGTGTAAGTTATTGATATCACAATTTATAACTAGCTATATGAGTACCCATTAACATAATTTTTAATAATTGTTTTTAGTACATTTATCTTCTGACTTTTATATTAGGATTACCATTTACTAACCACTGTTACAGTAATATCTTTTTTGTCTGTATAATTACCTTTGCCAATTACTTTCATACTTTCTTATTTATTTATTTGATACATATTTTCCTGTTTCTTAATTTTTTTGGATTCTTTGTGTTGGTTTATGTATGTTAGGTAAGACAACTGCCTCTCTTAGTCTTACCAGTCTGGACTCATGTCAGAGATGGATCTCAGCAGTCAACCCAGCAGGAAATTGCAGGTGCCACTCCAAATTTTGTGAATTGTCTAAGCCACTGTCTTTATTATTAGGGATTCCTAGGAAATTAGGATGTGTCAAGTCTCATTGGTGCCCCCAAGACATATGGGATAAAAGTCTTTTCTTAAAGGTGCAGCTGGAACAGGGGGTGATAGATCAATGCTCTACTTTTTTCTATCAGGAAGATGATGAGAGCTTTAGTTCATCTACCATTTGTTCTGCACTTCACCTTCTAGAGCTCAATTATGAGAGTATGTTTAACGTTTTATGATAGATGATAAAAATATTTTATAGTACATTCTTTAATCTGATAATTCCAGCATCAGAGTCACTGTTATGTTTATTGTCTCTTCCCTTGAAAACTAGTCACATTCTCTAGTTCTTTTGATATTGAGTCATTTTAGAATGCATTCTGGATATTGGCAAATGATATAGACAGCATTGATGTATTCATTTAGCAAGGAATAAGCTGGGTTAAAATTAGACTGTAGTTTTGTCTTGCCTTCTGCAGGTGCTGGTATGAGTTTCAGTTCAGTTCTCTAAACATTCGTTATACTTGTTTAGGTCTAACAAGTGCACGCATGCATCAGCTGTTACACTGAAACTTAGGTAGATAGTTAAAATCTCAGTTCTGTGCTCTAAGCCTTTGATATGCTGCTTGGAGTCTGTTCCAAAAAATTATTTCTCTAATGTGAAGTGCTTCCTTTTCCTCTTTTTGTTCTAGTGATAAAAGTGAATTTAGTTTTAGAATTTTAGCCACGTGTGCTATCCTGATGCTCTGCAAACAGGGTCTATCCTCAAGGAAAAGACACAAGACAAGAAAACCTATGCAGGTGGCTTTCTCAGGTTTAAACTCACATCTGTAATCTGCCTGCATTTGTGTACTTTTCAGTGTCCTCAGGGAGTTGTTTGTTATATTCTATTTAGGGGTTTTAGTTAAGGTCGGTGGGCAGTGTGGCCCCAGTAGAACCAAAAATGTTCATTGCTTTTTACTGTTATTACTATTTATTTGGTGAGATTTTCTATATATTTATTCATTGTGAACATATTTCATTTTTTTCATGAGAACAGTTATATCAACCACTGTAAAATCCTTGTCAACTAACTCCAATAGCTGTTTTGTCTTGAGGTCACACTTGTTTGATTTTCTTTCCCTCTGAGAATGTATTCCATTTTCTTTGGTTTCCTGTGTTAGATAATTTTGAATTGTATTCCAGCTGTCATGAATGCTAACTTGTAAAGATTTTAAAATCTGGTTTTATTCAATGGTGGCTTTTTTTTCCTTTTGTGTAAACAGTCAATTAACGTGGTCTAGTTTTTATGGCAATTCTATTTATTGGGTAGCAACTTGAGTCTCAGTTCTGAATTTTTGTCCATAAGAAACTTTTAGTCTTTTTCTTATACCCACGGTTCAGTGATCAATCAGATTTGTGGGTAGAATAAATCTGTGGAGTCCTTCTTGGCCCTTTCTCTTCTGAGTTCCCCTCACTATTTGATTCCCTGGTGTGAGTTTGCTGGTCTCCCAGCTGCAAAGACTATGGGGTTTTCTTTAATGATTTATCCTGCCTCTATCTCTACACATCATGCCCATGTTTTAGGCCTAAAAATTCAAAATGAGAAACATATACTATGCAAGTTGACTTCCCTCTCTTACAGGGTTCTCCCAAGCAGATTCTGTTTAGTCCTATTTGCACTGCATTTTCTACAAGTACTTGCTATTATATTGTGTCTAGAATTCTAATTGTTTTCTAGGGGTGAAAAAAACCTTGAGTGGGGGTTGTAATCCGTTGTTATTAGCCAAACCTGATTTAAAAAAAAAAATGCAAGAGTTAATTCCCAATAGCAAAGATATGGAATCAACCTATGAACCCATCAATTGATGAATTGATATAGAAAATGTGGTACATATACATAATGGAATACTATTTGGTCATGAAAAGAATAAAATCATGTCATTTGCAGCAACATAGATGGAACTGGTGGCCATAAGTTTTAGTGAAATAAGCCAGACACATGTTATCATTCATATGTGGGAGCTAAATAGTTGATCTTATAGACACAGAGAACAAAATGATAGATATCAGAATCTGGGAAGCATGACGGGGGTGTGGATGAAGACAGATTGATTATCAGTACAAACATACAGTTAGATAGAAGAAATAAGACCCAATATTTGATAGTGAACTCAGATGACTATACTTAGCAAAAATATTGTGTCTATTTCAAAATAACTAGAAGAGAGGACTTTAAATAATACCAAAACAAAAAATGATAAGCACTCAAGGTGATGGATAACACCAAAAAATATTTTTGAGGGGCTAAAAATGAAATATCTAAAATACATAAGTAAAAATTGTGAGATATTATCAGAGAAAGTGTTCTAGACATCTTGTATTGTTTAGGAGAATGAAAAAGATACTGAGTTTTTCGTGAACATGAGAGTTAAATATTATGGTAAATACAAAAGTAATAGAAGTAGAGTGGGCTTACCTGTTTGACAAATTCTTCTTTTATGAGATTATTACTGAGTCTATAAAAGTAATCCAGCTATAAAACAACAACAACAAAAAAAAAAAACAAGTGTTGTGATGCTGATAAAATAAACAAATGAGGAGTTATTTAGGAAAGCATGTTGAAAATTTGAATGCTCAAAAAAATCATTTGGTCTATTCTTAATATATTGTTTTTGTTATTTAGTTGTATTTTTATTAAATTCTGATCAGTGAACACAATCTACATGATCACTGCTCATGTAATTTATGCGTATTTCTTTTTTGACCCAAAGATAATTTTTATAACTATCCTATGTAAGTTTAAAAAGAAACTGTATATTCGTAAATGCCATGTTCTCTTTCAGCATCTATTACTTGCCTATGTATCTATATATCTATCATACTTGCTAAATGTATAAATTACATACTCTGTATCCCATATTTTTGTTAATATACATGCATTTCAAATGCCTGAAACACGTTTTATTGGAGTTTAATACTACAAATGTGGATGTACCTTTCTCTATTGCATTTTGCTTTTGAATCTATGTTGTGTTAATAAAAGTTTATGGTTTCATGTCTTTTTGGTGGGTTTTTAAAATTGTTCCCATATAATGTTTTTCTCCTTAATATTTACTTTTATCTGATAATAATATGACCAACTATTTTTTCTTTATTGCTACGTATGTTTCTCTATTTTTCTTTTTTCTTTTTCTTTCTTTTTTTTTTTTTACAGTGGCATGATATTGGCTAACTGCAATCTCTATCTCCCAGGTTCAAGCAATTCTCATGCCTTAGCCTCCCAAGTAGCTGGGATAACATATGTGCACCACCACGCCCAGCTATTTTTTTCTATTTTTAGTAGAGACAGGGTTTCACTGTGTTGGCCAGGCTGGTCCCAAACTCCTGGCCTCAAGTGATCTGTTGGCATCAGCTTCCCAAAGTGTTGGCATTACAGGCGTGACCACCAGGCCTGGCCTCTATTTCTTTATTTTGATCTTTTTTTGTTATATTCTTTTAGAAAACTGTTTATAAATATATGTTATTATAAACTTATCTGATCCATTTTTAAAATTTTCAATTTATATGCAAAAAGTTTTAAATGTGTCCCAACCTAGAAGTGTATATTACAACATATAAGCCATCACCAACAGTCAAAATTATCTCAATTTAACCATATTTCTTTCATCTATCACCTTCACTGTGGTTGCTGAAGACTTTTATAGATAATTCATGAACTTATGCCATTTCAACACTACGTAATTCAGTGTACACATCTTAAAATTATAATTTTTATATAATTACAATGTCATAATTATATCTCTTGTATGTTTTTTCTATGCGAATGACCTATTGGAGTCGTGACCTGTTTGATTAGTTATCTTGTAACATATACTAAATTATCAATTGTTCAGTTTTTTTTCCCCTCTTAGTGTAATTTAACTTGTACCTATACCGTGCCTCCCATCCACCCATATTTTCTGAAAATGAAATTTATCCCTAGAAACTTGATATTTGGTGCTACCTATTTTCAGCAAAGCTATTTCACACATGGTGTTTTGTACTTCAGCAGGTGGCACATAATGTCTGTGGCTGTCTCTCTCTTAGTGATCAGTGATTCAGATAGCAACAGCTGAATGCCTCTGTTTCAAGTATTCCTTTGCCCTATCAGCTAATAATGTCATCCATTGGTGTTTTTTGTCTGAATCAAATAGTTCGAAGTTCTTAGTTATTTTCTAATTATATGTTACCTTCCATAATTATTCAGGATTTGCTGGTGAAAAAGATCTTTTTCTCAAGCAATGGGACTACAGATGCTTCTTGTCTTACGATGGAATTACTTCCCAATAAATTTATCATAAGTAAAAAAAATAATAACTTGAAAATTCATCTAATACCATGAAAAATCCATTGTAAAATCAAAAAAATTATAAGTCAAACCATTTTAAGTTGATGACCATTTGATTTGACTTACTTGTAATGCAGTATGTACGGTACTGGAGGAACAAATGCCTAATTATTTTCCTTTTCCTTCCAACTTTCAGGTAAGGTAATCATTTTCAAAGGTAATTTTTGCTAATTATAATAATTGCTAATTATTTTCAATCATGATCAATGGTAATTTTTGTTTTGTTTTATTTTTGTTATTGTTCTATTTTATAGCATCATCATAAACTCATGAGATATTATATATTCAATTCATTTCAATCAATTGTACTTTTTATGTTGTTTGTGGCTCCAAGTGTCCCATCTTTGTCCTATATGCCAAATTGGCTGCTGTGATTTGTTTATGTGAACTCATTGACTTGATTTTCTTTCTGACACAACAACGTATTCCAGGTATACCTTGTAAATCTACCTGATATGGAATTGGCTATTCCACTAAGAAGTTCCATTTCCTTTCAGTGGCTGATAATATTTACAGAGAGCAATCTAGGAACTAGGACTACTTATTGATAGTAGGTTGTCTTTCCTCTTAAGACACTTCAGAGTATAGAATTGCGATATGCATATAATTCAAACAAAAATAATAATAATTTAATATTAACATCTTGATTCAAATTAAACTAACTTTTTTGTTTTATAATTACACTATCTTTTCTTTCACATAAAATATCCTGGCTTCCAAGAACATTACTATAATTCTATTAGCTGTATTTTCTGGGATATATAAAACATTTTCAAATAATACTACTTTATTTTTATTCACCTAAGACTTCTGAGGAAGCTTTTTATGTCCTTGCCTTTCAATTTTAGTGCAGTGGCGTGATCTCGGCTCACTGCAAGCTGCACCTCCCGGGTTCTCGCCATTCTCCTGCCTCAGCCTCCCTAGTAGCTGGGACTACAGGCGCCCGCCACCGCGCCCGGCTAATTTTTTCATATTTTTAGTAGATACGGGGTTTCACCGTGTTAGCCAGGATGGTCTCGATCTCCTGACCTCATGATCTGCCCGCCTCATCCTCCCAAAGTGTTGGGATTACAGGCGTGAGCCACTGCACCTGGCCTGAATAATTTTTTTTTATTTTTTACAAATAGACGCATAAATGTGCCTTTCAAAAATTTAATTTTTGTTTACATATAAGAGAGAATAGCATCATGCTTTTCTTTACTCACAAAATATTTGGGTGTCACCTCAAATCAGCATTTACTAAAGTCCTTCATTATCTTTTCACAGTTGCATTGAACTTCATTTTATAGATGCACTGTAATTTATTCAATAAGTCTCCAAGTAGTGGTAAATTGCTGTTACAAGCAAAGCCTCAGCAGATAAGCTTAAGGAAAAGTAACTTTCTACTTGGCATAGATTTCTAGACATGGATTGCTTTATAAGAAGTAAATACTCATTTAATTTTGCTAACTATTACCAAAGTGCCAAAGTGTTCTCAACAGCAGGTATATGATTTTTCACTCCCATCAGGAATTGTAGATGTCTCTTTCTTCAAATTCTTACCAGAAAATGCTGTTGAGATTTAGTTTTTGATAATGTAAAGGATGAAAAAATGGTAACTTATGTAGTTCAAATTTCTATTTCTCTTTGAGTGAGGAAACACATCTTTTTCTTGAAAAATTGGTCTTTTTCTAAATTAGCAGGTTTTATTTTTTAGAACAGTTAAAGACTTATAGAAAAATTGAGCAGAAAGTACAGAGAGATTTTCCTCTTGCCTCACCACATGCACATAGTTTCTCTCTTAGCATCTGGGATTATTGCAGTACATTTGCTACAATAGATTACAAACACTGATATATTACTACTGACTTAAGGCCATAGTTCACACATATATATTCCATATTTAAAATTTTTATTGTGACTAGCTTGATTTAAATCAAATCAATACAAACTACATTTTGAATGTTGCTGGGGGCAAAAAAAGAGATAAGCAGTCACTTCCAAAGCAAAAACAGTTTAAAAGACACATTTCCAGGAAGGCAATATATTGTACATGTTAATAAGTTGTGGAAGGCGAAAGCAAATAGTGATTTAAAATATGATCTTATAATTGAAAACCACAAGGGCAGCAGCTTTCACCTGGAGGCCTTGATTTGTAATTAAAATGACTCCCCCATGAGCCACTTCACATGGCATGCTACACAAGTTAGATACCAACAGAGATTTATTTATTTAATCATAGCTAATGATTTTCTAGAGACTCTCCAAATAAATACATGATGTATGGCCGGTTATCCATATGTAAAAATCAAAAATTAAGTCTAGTATTAATTTTCTTCACCTTAAGCATTATCTGATGTCAATGTCTGGGTCACAGGGGGGCAGCTCAGCTCATGCTCTGCTTTATTTTACATCCTTTCTGTTGTCACATGTTCCTACTGATTTCCTGACTTTTACAGCCTCTAAAAACTTTATCCTAAAAATAAAGATCCCTGGAGCAACTGGAAGAGCAAAGCAAATCCTATTTAGAAGGGAGGCTTCAACTAATTTCTTTTAAGGTTTCTTCTGATAAGGTATAGACCAACTTAAGCTCACAATCTAAAATTACAAAACCCATAGAGACATGAGGCACAAAGAATGAGGTCCATGAGAAATGATTCCCAATAGGATTAGACCAGTAAGGAATTCAGAATATGGAATTGTGAGATAGATAATATAAATCAGGTGAGTTTGAACGTTTAAAGTAATAACATAGAAGTAAAAAACATAAAAGAAGAACAAGACTATGTTAAGAATGACTGCATCCCTTTTCAAAGTGATGCATGAAAAGATCACCCAAGATCACTTAAGTACTTAAGCAAATGCACGTGTGTCTGCATTGTCTATTATTTTATTGGCCAGACACTGTAGAGTACATGTTAAATTATAAATTTATTTTGGAAGAAATAGTCCCTGCTTACTGTGTTATTGTCCTTTAATTTTGTTTTGTATTTCACCTAGGGTTTTCATTACATATTTTTTCATTAAATTATTAGTATTATAGTTTTAAAATTAAAAGTATATATATATGTATATGTATGTGTGTGTGTGTGTGTTTGTATATATATATATATATGGAGAGAGAGAGAGATGAAAATCAATTAGAAGAAATTGGCCCACATGATTATGGAGACAGAGATGTTCCAACGTCTGCAGTCAGCAAGCTGGAGACCTAGCCGAGCTGATGTTTTGTTCCAGTTTCAGAGTGAAACTTTGGGAATCAAGAGGGTTGGTGTTTTCATTTCAAAGGCAAAAGCCAGAAGGCTGAGACTTCAGAAAGGGTAATGATTCAATCTATATCCAAAGACTCAAAGGACCCAATACTCTAGCTCAAGCCGTCAGGCAAAAGGACATCCCTCTTACTCAGCCTTTTTGTCCTATTCAGGTCTTCAATTGTTTGAAAGAAGCCCACACACATTAGGAAGGACAATCTGCTTTTACTCAGTCTACTGACTCAAACATTAACCTTATCTAGAAACATCCTCACAGACAAACCCAACATAATGCTTGGCAGAACTGCAGCATATCCTGGAGCTCAGTCAAGCTGACATATAAAATAATCATCACTCTCTTTGAAATAGCCTTACCATTATAGGCTTTATCACATTAATTAATGAGCTAAGTTAAAAAATGACTAATGTTCATATTAACCAATATATGTTTAATTGTAGTTTCAGTGACATGACAGTAATAATGAAGGTTTTGATAGGAATTGAGAGTTGTTCAACCAAACCCAATTCTCTTCTGCCATCACAATAGAATTAAAGCCAGACAAGTGGCTGCATAGTTGATGACTATATAGCCACACCCCAGTGCAATTTAACGTGGCCACTTGACCAAATCGTTACTAATGAAATGAAGTTAAAGTGACATCTGTCATTTCCACGCCTGCACCGTAAGACAGCACACTTATACTTCCATTTACTTTCTCTCTCTAGTGAGCTGTAACATGAATGTATCTGTGACCTGGCTTTGACAAAGAAGGTGAAGTTAGCTTGCTAAGTCAGAAACGAGATCCAAGGAATACAAAATAAAGTGCCCTGTCTACCTCCCTAGATTTTTTACCTGAGAAAAATATATAAAATTCCTTGCACTTTTAGACTAAGAAAAAATAATTTATCTGTATTTTAGACTATTTATTTTTTGGTTTCTTCCTTATATAGCTTAGTATTTACCCTAACGCACAGATACTTCAGTATTTTTAAGTGAAGGGTGGGGTTGGGAATACACCACCAAAACCTAAGCTATGTAGCATAGACCAAAATAAAGCAGTGAATAGAGATGAAGCAAATATGACAGCTAGTCAGCTAATGGTACTTACTGATAAGGACTGAGAAATATTTGGGAGAGCTATTTTTTTTAATATAATTTGGAAGAAGGAATATGTGCCTACTCAAGAAGAAAGCAGCCTCTGTAACTGTATAGTCTCCAAGGGAAACACACACTCCAATTGACAATGTGTATATGGTCAGAGAGGATAATGAATCGTAAAGAAACTCCCAGAAGGCAAGGCCAATGTCTGCAGCAGACTACGGAGCAGAACACCAGTGTCCAAATGGTCAAAACAAGAAGACCCTTCTCAATTTCCAGGTGAGGTGTTACTCAAATTGCTGCTGAGCATAGTTCCTTCATTGATAGGAATCCATTATTGCTGTATGCCTTTTTGGACGTGAGGTAGGAGATTAGCAGGACTTGCTTACTGGTTATGACTCTGTTGATGGCAGCGGAATCTGGTCAAAGCAGGGTTCAGTGAAGAAGCCTGCTGATACTAACAGATGGTAATTGAGGGGACCTCTAGTTGCCCTTCCTGCTCATTAGCATAAGGACACTCCCACCAGCACAATGACATTTTACAAATGCCATGGCCACATGTCATGGCAACGGCCCAGGAGTTGCCTCATATGGTTCCAGAAACTCCTCTGCCCTTTTCCAGAAAGTTTGGAATAATCTACTTCTTAATTAGCATATAAGTAAAAGTGGGTATAAATACAGCTAGCTATCAGCCCACAGGTTCCAACTCTGGGCACACTACCTGTGGGTTAGACCTGCTGTGTAAGGAGCAACACCGGTTCAGTGAAAGTTGCTTTCTCTCACCACCAGCTCACCCTTGAGGGAAGCCAAGAACCCTCCCAGGCTAAGCCCCATTGTGGGAGCTCAATTGCCCTTCATCAGCACTAGCTTTATCCCTTTTATGTCTGCTATCTTATTGGTGACCACGTCGTGGGTATTTTGGTAAAGGCAAAGGGTCCTGACTTGTCTTAATAATTTTATCAGTCCACAGGAGTTATCAGTGAATCACATTTAGGTTCCACTTCTTTGGGGAAGAAATTAGTGTATTCTGTTTTGGGAGGATGATGTACATGAATAATACAACTGCCAGAGAGGCAGACTGTGGTAGAATCTGATGGTTATTCATCAGCAAATGTTTTCCCCATCTTTATCCATAGTTATACCTGGTGTAAAAGTAAAACCATCCACTCACAGTAGTACTTGCTTAGGAGACATGAAAACTGAGTGCTGTGTTCCTTCTTTCCTTAATTAGCATTACCATGAATGCTTATGACTCCTCACACACTTTACTAGCTCAGAGACTTTTCACTTCAGTGAATTACTAAGTGAATTCCTTTACTGGAGTGTGTTCCTTTGATTATTAAGAAAATAAATGCAGTGTTCATCTGTTGTTTACTCCTTATAAGTCTGGAAGTCTCATTAAGATTTTCTTCACCTGGATCACTGAATACTAAGATTGGATATCAAAGAGCACCTCAATTCTACTATCCTGAGTTTGCGGCTTTATGTGAAGAAATAAATGAATGTGACAGTGCTCTTTTTTGCTCTCTGAATTTTCACTTGGAGTGATACACTATGTGACTTTGGTGTGATTCTGAGTTATTGGCTGAACTTCGAACACTTGTGTATTGTCTAGTTATCTATTTCTTATAGGCAGGATGCTTGTCTTTCCTCCATCACTGGTAAGCCTATTTTCTAGATACAAAGGAAACCTCTGTGTTGCTCTCTTGAACTTGTCAACTGTGAGCTGGAGCCAGTTAACACTCCCCCTTCATACATGGAGATTCGTTGTAACTCCAATTCCTGTATCCATACGGTAGTGTGTCAAATTTTTACTAAGATCATTTTTAATTATAATGGTTAGAAAGGAAAACTGCATTTTCTAAGATTTCTCACCCCTCTGGAGTTCTAGAACAAAAAGGGAAAAAAGTGTTTTGATTCTACTGTATCAATTTCTTTTTTTTGGTGGTGGAATATGGAGTATGTATTTATAAGTTTTATTTCAAATAGACTCACCTGAAATCAAGATGAGAAAATCCATTGCATTACAAGACTTCTTAAAGGACAAAATGCTACAATACTCATCTATTTATAAATTAATAAGTATATATAAAATTTAATTTCTAATGCTCTAGATGTGTTGACATTTTAAAAATTCTGATTGTCATTCTGATTATTAAATTCTCCAACTAATGATTATTCCTTATTTTTATGGTTATCTCTCATGGAAGATTTTACTAATTGTTTTTCCAAAATTCAGACCCAAAATTCAAAACATTAGAATATTCAAGGTTTATTTTATGCTTAAAACATCTTCAAAGTTTTCTCATTGTCCACTGGACAGCCATAAAAATTTGCCCTTTGTATGAAAAAGGAGGGATAATATAATTAGGATATTTTTTGGCATTTCACAAATGTTAGTAGTTCAACACTACTGTAAGAAGCTTTTCCAAAATTCATTCAATTATTATAGAGATATTTAGCCTTCCTAGAAGTAACCATAGCTTAGCAATTTATTATATAAATATATTTCATTGATTTGTGCTTTTTACATTGAGAAAAGGCACGCTGGTCTTCTATTACAAAGGACCAATACAAAGCTGCCTACAGTCTTTCATTTAAAAAAGAATCTGCATCTAGGTTTAATACAGGTCAATAGTAATACACTTTAAGCAAAATGTAAAGGTTCTAGAAAATTTTTCAATGTTCAAAATGTCTATAACATAGTGTTATTCAATGGTAATTTTTAACTGCATTTTTATAAACTGTCAAACAGTGTAACTCAATAATTTTATTTCACACTTTCTGCCTTTATTAGCTATTAATAAATTAATAAATTAACCAGTCTTAGCTCCACAGAGGATTTCCAATTTTTTATACTAAATTAAAGGCTCTTGATACAACTCCTAAACAGCAAAACAAAAGCCTAAATAATGATCTATTTCATATACTTCTTTTTATATTTTTGCTTTTTAGTTTAGAACAATCTAAAAAGAACAACCTAAAAAATTTAAAAGTTTAGAACAATCTAAAACAGAAGAGTTTCAGCAACAGTACAAAGAACCATTTTCTGAATAATTGAAAGTAACTTGTTGACATGATACCTTATACTACCCCTGCCAAATATCTCAGTGTGCATTTTCTACAAACAAGGACAGTCTCCTAGGTAACCACCATGTAATAATCAATATCAGAAATGAGCACTGATGCAATACTCATTTCTAATTCTTGGACTGATTGGAGTTTTGCCATTTTCCTTAGAAATGTTTTCAAGCAAAATATTTCAGCTGAAAAATCACAACTTGCATTTAGTTTTCATCTTTTTTAGTCATCTTCAATCTTGAATAATCCATCAATCTTCTTTTACGTCAGACTTTGGCACTTTTAAAAATTGCAGCCTGGTTATTTTATCCAATGTCCTTCAATTTGTGTTTCCATGATGGTACCTCATATTTAGATTCAGGTTATTTGTCTTTGGTAGGAATATCTCAGAAGTGATACTGTGTTCTCATTAAATTGTCTCCTATGGAACACGGTTACAATTTAGTATTTTATTTATAATCCCTTGATTAAGGGTCAGCCAGGTTTCTTCACTAAAAGTAATTGATAAGTATTATTACTCCTTTTTACTTCTTTAATTAATTAATTATTTTAAGTAGCACTTTATTTAAGACTATTGCAATAGGTGTCAAGATTATTGGAAGAGGGGAGAGAGACCAGGCTCAGCTTAACTCTAATATGACAAAGATTTATAGCTAACCAGCAGATCGAAGAAGGTGAGTGGATGGAAAACTACTAAGAGAAACATCAAGGGTAGGGGGGATTCTTACAAAAAAAAAAAACTACTAATCAGGATTTTTGATAAAACTGGACTCAGCAGATCAAACACAGAGCCAAAGGATGACGCTAAATTGAAAAGAGGGCACAGAGGATCCCATCTAAATTTTGGTCAAGGACAGATGTTTGCCAGTGTTTGCCTTTGTGTTTATTCATAGAAGTGATTATACATATAGATAGCCCTCCCACTGGCAAAATTGGTGACAATTTGAGTATCAGAGTACTTACTGATAGCAACATACTATTACTCATTGAATAAATTAGTAGTCCACAAGTTCATACTGCTATAGTGTGAACAAACAAACACATCAAAAAAGTTTGAAAAGGAAATGTGTTTCTACATAGTCTCAAAGGAACTTCGCACAATGTACTCACTATTGCAAAGAGAAAATGTGTAACATGAGTGGAGAAAGTCCTTTAATTAAAAAATCACCAGTAATGGGGTAAAACATGTGTGCCACCTTAGAAGATGCAAATATTCATCAACACTACAATGGCTAAATAACTACAGTGGAAATCTTTATAACAATGAAAATAAATATAATGCAAGAATTTCAAAAACTATGTGAAAAAGAAAACAAGTCACAGAAGAATACACACTGATTGCTCAGTTGGATTTCACTTAAAAAAACTTCAAAAAAGCCTAATTAAGTGTTTGGGTTGGGTTTCATATGTTTAAAATTGTTAAGAATAGCAAGAGGATAATAATGCAGATTTTTAGCATAGTGATAGCCCTTGGGGAAGGGAAGAAGATGGAGCAAATATAAGAATACAGAGGGGTTCAAATATAGTAGTAATATTTTAGTATTTGAGCTGGCTTGTGGTTTCCATGATGATGGTTATACAAGCATTTAAATCCATTTATATGTTTGAAATATACCAGAATATGTTTTTGAAAGATTACTCTAGCTGCTGAATGGATTGTTTGCAATGTGAGTGCAAGCAGGAAGACCAGCTGGAAAATTACTGCCGTAATCCTGCCAAGAGATGATGTTGGCTTGAGCTAAAGTGTTGGCAATGGGGACAGAGAAGAGCACATGGTTAATGTGTGTATTTTGGAAGGTAGAATCAATTGACTTTCCAGTTGGAATGGTGAAATACTGATTAAAGGGGAGATTACAAGATGACTCTAAGTTTTTTTAGCTTTGGTAACTAGAGTGTATAATACTGTTGGATTTAATTCAGATTGACATGCAAGAGAGAAGAACTGGCAGAAGTGAAGTTCTCAAATGATAGAAGGGTCCAAATTCAGAATACAAGTTGAAGAATTAGCCTTTGACAGAAATGGGCAAAATTTCCATGATGTAACAGAAGGGAAGAAAGGAATGGATATGGTTATAGAGCAAACAGCAATGTCAATGGAGAGAAAAGAGAGTTCCCATTTAAAAGCATGTAGTCAATGAAGTATGAGATGAGCTAATCACCTGAAAAAAAGGGAGGAATGTGAGGTTTGAAGAAAGAGGAGAAGACAGTGACAAATGATTATTGGATTAAACTGAATCTTTATGATCAATATTAATGGCAAAATGAAACTTTCTCCAGTAAGAAAACTTCAAGGACAGTGGTTCTCAGTTATGATTGGGGGTGGGAGGGGCCCTAGAGGACAGTGAGACTCTCAGTGAAGACAAAATTACTTACTGTCAACCTTACTTTCTTAGTAAACTAAGATGCCATGTGTTTTTTTCGTTGTCTTGTTTTCTCATGAATTAGTTGAGAAGTGTTCCAGAATCATAGTGAGGCATGATTATGTAATTTCTCTGATGACTGAGGGGATGTATAATTATGTATTCTAGTGATTTAATTTCTAATATGATAAATACTGTTAGGAGTAATGCATTTTAATAAAACCTCTTCGGAGTCCTCAATAATTTCAAAAGTAGAAAGGAGTAGGAAGACTAAAAATTTGATCACTATTATTTTAGGCAAATAATCATGTTCTCAACACTTGCAAGAGTTAATTTCTTTTTTTCCTTATGACAATGATTCACTGTCCAAACATGTACTGTCCAAAGCCTGATTTGAAACATATAATGCATAGTTACCACATTTACTTATGTAGGATTGCTGTAATAAGCCTGCTCCAAGATTGGTTTTGCATGCTCCAGCATTCACTTTTTTGCAAGAGGTCTAAATGGCTCTTTCAGGAATCATTTTTATTGAAATTATTCTCTGCTTATACATTTTAGTGTCTTTGACTGCAAGTACTCAAGCATCACCTTGTCTATGATTCTTTATCTGACCAAAATATTTTAAATGGCTAAACCATTGTCACGACCCACACCTGCAATACTATATAATATATATATTATACAAATGGATAAATCAATATAAAGTATATTTAGATATAAATTGACAATTAATGTTGAGAGAAAAGTATGTCAGGGAAAGGGACTAGGAATACAGGCAGTTATGGGTGGGTGACAATGGTTTCATTATTTTAAATAATTTTATTATATATATACAATTTTTTGTTTTTATTTTATTAAATATAATAGAGATGTACATATATATATATATACACATTTGTGTCTTACCTATATGCATGTTTACTTTATATAATTAAATGGAAGCTCCAAGAAGAGCTGTGAAATTTTTCTGTTTTGGTTTTTTCTTTTAGCAATGACATGCACCGCCGTATTTATTTAATGAATAAGGAAGAAAGAAGTTCTATTTATTAAATTCCTTATTTTTAATTGTTTAAACTAATAAATAATTGTAACAATGTCTCAGAACACAAGCTGAATATGCATGAGTCAATTTTATTCCTTTTTTTAAACTTTTATTTTAGTTGCAGTTTGTTATATAGGTAAGCTGTGTGTCTCAGGGGTTTGAAGTACATACTATTTTGTCACCCAGGGAGTAAGCATAGTACCCAATAGGTACTTTTGATCCCCACCCTCCTTCTCCCCTTCACTCTCAAATAGGCTCTGGTGTCTATTGTGTCCTCCTTTGTGTTCATGTGTACTCAATGTTTAGCTCCCATTTATAAGTGAGAACTTGGGGTATTTGGTTTCCTGTTCCTATGTTCATTTGCTTAGGATAATGGGATCCTGCCCCATTCATGTTGCTGCAAAGGACATGATCTCATTCTATTTTTATGGCTGCTTAGCATTCCATGGCATATATGTACTGCATTTACTTTAACCAGTCCACCATTGACGGGCATTTAGGTTGATTCCATGTCTTTGCTATTGTGAATAGTGCTATGACGAACATAAGACTGGATGTGTCTTTATGATACAAAGATTTATAGTCCTTTTGATATATACCCAGTAATGGGATTGCGTGTCAATTGATTAAGTTCTTTGAAAAATCACCAAACCACTTTCCACAATGGCTGAACGACATTACATTCCTACCAGCAGTTTATAAGTGTTTCTTTTTTTTCCACAACCTCACCTGCATCTGCTGTCTTTGACTTTTTATAATAGCCATTCTGACTGGTGTGAGATGGCATCTCATTGTGGTTTTGATTTGCATTAATAGATATATACACAATTAAACAGTAAACCCTTGAAGAACACAGGTTGGAACTGCATGGACCCACTTACGCATGAAATTTTTTTCACCTCTTCTACCACTGAGACAACAAAACCAATCACTTCTCTTCTTTGTCGTCCTCGGCCTACTTAACGTGAAGAAGACAAAGATAAAGACCTTTATGATGATTCACTTCCACTTAATGAATAGTAAATTGTTTTCTCTTTCTTATAATTTTCTTAATAACATTTTCTTTTCTCTAGCTTACTTTATGGTAAGAATACAGCATATAATACATAATATACAAAATATATGTTTATTGACTATGCAGTCAGTAAGGCTTCTGGTCAATAGTAGGCAAATAGTAATTAAGGTTTTCAGAGTCAAAAGTTATATGCAGATTTTTGACTGTGCAGGGGTCGTCACCCCTAACTCCCATGTTGATGTTGTTCAAGGGTGAACTTTACATATACAAATAGAGGATCTATCTATCTTTTTATATCTATCTGTCCATCTCATATAATATACCAGATAGATAGATAGATAGATAGATAGATAGATAGATAGATAGATAGATAGAATCTCTCTTTAGAGGTTAGCACAATCCTGGGTGCATAAACATATAATATTAAATTAAGGACATATATAATATTAAACCAGGACAAAGGCAACAGTGCCAGCTATATTTCAATGCCCCTAGAAAGCTGTAAGACAGAGATGCAACTTAAAAGTAAATGTGATGCATATTTTTACAATTTTAAGTTTTTAAAAATTGTAAATATGTAACAAAAATTTCCATTTAAATAATGTTAAAATGTACAATTTAAATGGCATTAATTATATCTGCAATGTTCTGCACCTGTCATTACTATCTATTGTTAAAACTTTTTAATCACCTCAAGTAGAAAGCTCCATAACCACCTAGGTAATAACACCCCATTTTCTCCTCCTCCAGCTCTAGCTAACTTCTAATATACTATCTCTATAAATTTGTCTCCTCTAGATATCTCATATAAGTGGAACTATGTGATATTTTTCCTTTCATGTCTGGCTTGTTTCACCTAGAGAGTGTTTTCAAGGTTCGTCTATTTTGGCATGTATCAGAATATTTTAGTTTATCTGTTTTTTGTTTTATTTTTTGTTGTTCTTTTCTTTTACTCTAGGAAACCATTGCCAAATCCAAGATCATGAATATTTGTCTGTATGCTTTCTTCTTCAAGTTTTATGGCTTTAGCTCTTAAATTGTGGCTTTTGATCCATTTTTGAGCTAATTTTTGTGTATAGTACAAGATAGGTGTCCAACTTCACAATTCTGCATGCAAAAATCTAGTAGTCCCAGAACCTTTTGTTGAAGAGGCTATTCTTTACCCATTGAATAGCCTTGGCACCTTTTTCCAAAATTAATTGGCCATGTATATATGGTTTATTTCTTCACTTTCAATGTAATTCTATTCCATTGGTCTATATGTCTATCCTTATGCAACTACCACACTGTTTTTATTATTGTAGCTTTGTATTAAGTTTATAAATGAAGAGATGTGAGTCCTCCAACTTTCTTAATTTTCCAGATTGTTTCAGCTATTCAGACATCATGCTACTCCATCTGCATATGAGGATCAAAGTTTGTATTACTGCGATAAAGGCCACTGGAATTTTCATAGAGACAGTGTTGAATCTATGTATCAATTTGATATGATTGACATCTTGACAATGTCAAGTCTTTCAATTCATAAACACAGAATGTCTTTTCATTTATTTAGGTCTTCATTAACTTTTTTCAGCAATGCTTTGTAGTTTTTAGTGTATAAGCATTTCATCCATTTCATTAACTTTATTCCTGTTTTATTCTTTTAGATGTTATTATTAATAAAATTTCTTTGTTAATTTTTTCAGGTTGTGTATTGCTGGTGTATAGAAATGTAACTGATTTTTGTTTGTATTGAGATTGTTTTGGAATCTAACATATAAGCTATCCTGGAGAATGATCCTTGTGGACTTAAGCAAAATATGCGTTCTGCTGTTGTTGAGTGAAGTGCTTTATATATTTGCTAGATATATTTGGTTTACAGATGTAAGTCCTCTATTTCATTATTAATCTCTTGTCTAGATGTTTTATCCATTATTGAAAGTGATGTATTGAAGTCTTCGACTAAAATTGTAGAATAGTCTATTTCTTACTCATATTGTGTTAATATTTGTGCCATATATTTGGAGCCCTTTTGGTGTATTGTGTTCAAAATTGTAATATCTTATTCATTAATTTATAATGTTATTACTATGAAATGTTTTTTCTTGTTTCTTGAAACAGTTTTTGACTTAGTCTCTTTACATGATGCTGTTTGGTTGGTACAAAAGTAATTGTGGTTTTTATCCTTTAAAAATAATAGCAAACCACACCAGTATATAGTTGAGTCATGTTTTATTTATTCATTTGGCCAATCTCTGACTTTTTATTGGAGACTTTATTCTATTTACATGTAAAGTAAATACTTATAAAGAAGGGCTTAATTCTGCCATTTTGTTACAGTTTTTACATATGTCTTATTACTTGTTGTATTTCATTTCCTCCATCACTTCCTTCTTTTGCATATAGTTGATTTCAGGGAACTATATTGATTCCCTTCTAATTTCTTTTTGCATAGTTTAAAAATATTTTTTATTATCATGTGGATGACATTTAACATATTAAGTTTATATTGGTCTCATTTGAATTCATTTCATTCAATTCATTACCATGGAGATAACATTTAACATTTTAACCTTATATTAGTCTTATTTGAATTCATTAACATGTAAAAACTCTACTCCTACACAGCTTTTTAACACCCTTATATTATTGTTGCCACAAATATATCTTTATACATAGTGCACCTCATAACATATATTTACAATTGCTTTATGTGTTCATCCTTTAAATCATATGGAAAATAAAAAGTAAAACCAAAAATACAATAACGATGTATAATGGATAATTTTATATTTACCCATATATTTGCCTTTAGTAAAGACCTATGTTTCTTCCTATGGCTTTGGGTTATTATCAGTGTCCTTTCATTTCAACCTTTAGGACTCTGTTTTTCACTTCTTCCAGGGGAGGTATAGTGGTAACATACTACCTCAAACTGTGTTTATTAGAAAATGTCTTAATTTATCTTTCATTTTTAAGGAACAATTTTTCTGGGGGTAAAATAGTTGACAGGCTTGTAGTAATGTTGTTTTCCTTTCAGCACTTTAATTATGTTAAACCACCACTTTCTGCCTTTATGGTTTCTGATGAGAAGTTGATTGCTAAACTTATTGAGAATCGCTTCGTAAGGGATGAGTCATTTCTTTCTTGATAATTTCAAGATTATCTCTTTGTCTGTAGACACTGATTGTAATGTGTCTCAATGTGGATCTCTTTGAATTTATCCTACTTGGATTTCATTGAGCTTTTTGGATATATAGATTAATATCTTTCATCAAATATGGAAAGTGTTTGGCCATTATTTCTTGATATATTTATATCCCCTTTTCTCCTTTTTGGAATCCTAAAATACATAGGATAATTTGTTTGATAGTTTCCTGCAGGTCCTTTCTTCTTTGTTTGCTTGTCTTCTTTCTTCTTTTTTCCTTTCTGCTCCTCAAACTTACTAATTTTAATTGTCCTTTTTTTTTAAGTTTGCTGCTTCCTCCTTCTGTCCTCTCATATCCATTGCCGAACCCATGTAGTGATTTTTAAAATTTTATTTATTCCACTTTTCAGCTCCAGGATGTCTGTATGGCTCCTTTTGAAATTGCTTTCCAGCTTTATTTAGGTATAATTGACAAATAAAAATTGTGTATGGTTAAGGTATATTATATGACGATTTGATATATAAATACCTTGTGAAATGATTGCCACAATCAAGTTAATTAATACATACATCACCTCACATAATTACCTATTTTTTGGTGGGAAGAAAAATTAAGATGATACTCTTCCTTCATCTTAAAGGGGCTACAGAAGGGCAACAGTCCATCTTCTGTAACTGCTTCCTGCTGAGTTTATGGGCATAGGTCGTTCCTAGCACAAGAGGAGTAAAATTCTCTGGATACCTGATCTAAGAGGCCCAGAAGCAGGACCTTTGATTCTCTGGATCAGTAGATAGGATGGATTAGAAGTCTTGTGCCAATATTATGTTTACGTGGAACTGCTGTAATTTAGAAGACACAAACTTTACTAAGAGGTTAAACTAGTAAGGGCCAAAGATTAGTGATAACAAGACAGCAGTAAAAACCAGATGATATTTGGGAAGACACTTTTGATAGTCAACCAGGTGGGGGTCAGTGCCCTGATTATTCTTATGTAACAAAGTAGCTCTTTGTTGTTAATATATGTGCAGCAGGTTTTATTAATAACTGCACAGACTCCAACTTGTTCAGCTAGTAAATAATCCAATTCTAGCTGTTATATAGAACTACATTTGCCAAAGAGCCTGGGGACACTTGAATTCCCTTTAATACCTGACTTGTATTCATGGCTAAGAATTTTAGGGTTTCACTTAAGTTTTCTTAGGGTTAACTCATGATAGGCAAAGCTACTCCAGAGTACTGCTTATTCTATCGCTGCCTTGATTTTTGCCAGATTAATCCTGTAGCTCATTTACTACAGGTATTATGGGTCTTATGGGTTAAAGACTGTGACTCTTAGAGAAGCAAGGATAGCCAAAATACATTCAGCTTCATTCCAAGTTTTTGATATACAATAGAAAGCTACTCCTAAAAGAACAGGTGGCTCCTGGGGTTGCCAGGATTGGTTATGAGGGAGGACTTTTTTCCCCTTCATGGCCACAAACAGAAACCAGACCAGTTGAGGTGCAAATAGAAGACCTACAGGGTGTGATTTCTATCAATTGCTGCCAAGCTGGGTCTATAGAAATAATCTTTCTTTGTTCCACTGGGGGTGGCAAAACAATCTTCATTTTCCAGAAGGGGATTGGAACCTTCCCAAATCAGGAAGTTGCTGTTGTTGTTTCCTGTATGTTCTGATCTGGGAGAAGGCACCACATGTGGTCTCCTCACTTACAAGTGGAATCCCATTTACCTTGCTGCAGCCTTGGGAACTTGACAACTAGAGTTGGATCAGAGCATTGTAGGAAAACATCTGCTTCTGTATCACTAGCACAACAATGGGTACAAAAGATAGAATCATTAGTTCACTGGAGATATAGATACTCAACTTCCATCAGCCAGTGAGGACCCCCATACAAATGCCAGAAATGTGAGTCTGGGGACTAGCCAAATACCAAACACCCTGGAGAATCAGGAAGTGACCAAACCCCAAGGTACTAGTTAGGGCCACAGAAAAAGATGACTCTGGCATCCCAAAGTTAACACAATGGGATATCTCTCACAACCAATTGTCCTGCCTTTTATAATTGCCCAGGGAGTTAAAGAAAAAAAAAAAAGACTTCAAACGAACCATTCATTTTAGGACTGAAAATAAAATGACTGCTGGAGTCAGAAGAGTAAGGACCAGGGGAAAGGATGACAGGGACATGTTTCAGGGCACTTATCCCATCATCCCATCATCTTGCTACCTCTCACAATCTCGCCATCCCACCGCTTCTCTCTCTCTCCAATTGCTGTCTTGCCATATTGCCTCTCCACTGATTGTTGTTGTCTTCACTGTCTTGCTGCCTCTCACTTGTTGTATTCATCCCTTTGTGGTTGGCAGACGATGCCAGACAGGTGAGCCCCAAAACTGGGGCTTAGCCTGGAGGTGGTTCTTGGCTTTTCCCAGGAAACAGTTCAAGGGTGAGCCAGTGGTGTTAGCACCTTCGATTGAAGCAGTATTGTACAGCAGCATCAGAGGTACTGTTTCTCGCAGAGCAGGGCTACCCCATAACCAATGTGCCCAGAGTAGCAGTTCAGTGGTAGTTCTGAAGTCATATTTAAACCATATTTAATTATGTGCAAATTAAGGGGCAGATTATGCAGCAATTTCTAGGAAAAGCATGGTAACTTCCAGGTCATTGGTTCCTTGCCATAGAAAGGGGCAGTAAATTCTGCATGTTGCCATGGCAATGATAAACTAACATGGCACTGGAGGCCATGTCTTATGGAGCGGTGCTTTTCTCTCGTCTTCATTAAAGTCCAGAGTCTAAGCCCTGCCTCCAGAGTCAAAACCCACCTCCTACCTTGGAATCATCCTTGGTTTCCAGGTAAAGATCGGATTTGGTCATGGTGTATTATTTTTTTAATGTGCTGTTAAATTAGGTTTGCCTATGTTTTCTAGAGGATTTTTGCATTTATGTTCTCATCAAGGATACTGGCCTATAATCTCCTTTCGGGTATTTTTTTCATCCAACTTTATTATGAGAGTAATGCTTATCTAGTAAAATTAGGTTGGAAGTGTTCTCCCTTCTTCAAATTTTTGTAAGAGTTTGAGAAAGATTGTCATTAATTTTTCTTTTAATATTTGTTAAAAATTACCCAGAAAACCAACTGGTTCTGAGCTTTTATTTGTTGGGAATTTTTTGATTACTGCTTCAAACTCCTTATTTGTTATTAGTGTGTTCAGATTTTCCATTTCTTCATAATTCAGTCTTCATAGGTTGTATGCATCTAGAAATTTATCCATTTTGCTAGATTACATAATTCATAGGTGTATAATTGTTTATAGTAATCTCTTATACTACTTTGTCTCTCTGTAGAATCTATTGCAATACCTCCTCTTTCATTTATAATTTTGTTCACTCGAGTCTTCTGTGTCTTATTGCTTAATTAGATTTGGCAATTGTGTCTATCTTTTAAAAAAGTCAACTCAGTTTTGTTCATTTTTTTCTATTGTCTTTCTAGCCTGTTTTAATTTCTATTATATTCTTTCTTCTACTACCTTTGGGCATTTTTTTTTCTTTTTCTAGTTTCTAGTATGTTAAATTGTTTATTTGCAATCTTTCTATTCTTTAATGTAGGCATTTATTACTATATAATGTCCTGTTACAACAGCTTTTGCTTCATCTAATCAGTCTTGCTATGTTGTGTTTTTATTTCAGTTTCCATTTTAGACTGGAGTTGGGTCACGGAGTATTTCAGGGCCCACTGTCAGGATCAAGACTGGAGAGCCAGTTCTCTAAGTCATGGGTGGATATGACTCCTCTTGGGTTCCTCGATAGGTGGTGCTTGTGGCAGGCTCAAGGCCAAATGGGGCTGTAGCTTAGTCCACATAGGGATGGAACTATTTCTGGATCTGTAGCCAGGACCATGGTTGGTGACCTTTCTTCCTAGGTGCAGACCTGACTTATCAAAATGGCCTTCTTTGGTCTTGGCTCCACCATGATTTTGCAGCCTCCTATTTGGATCCCAAAGCTCCCATACATTGCTTTTGATTATGGACAGCTGCAAAAATTTTGGTGCTGTAGAGGAATATAATTGGAGTCTTAGCCTGCCAACTTACTGAAGTGTTTGGTCCTTTTTGTAATTTTTATCTATTCATTGAAGTTTATATTTTGTTTATAAATAACTTTTCATATTTCTTTTAGTTTTTTGACCAGGTTTCAATTCCATGCTTTGGGCATATTTAAGACAGTTGTTTTAAAGTCTTTGACATGTCCAGTGCTAAAGACTTTAAGGTAAGGCCATCCTTGGCCTCATCAAGGATGGCTTCTGACCATTTATTTAGTTTCTGTTTTAAATGTGTATAAATTTAAAGGATAAAAGTACAGTTTTCTTACATGGATATATTGCACAGTGGTGAAGTCTGGATGGACTGTTTATTTTCCTTTTATAGGCCATGCTTTCCTCTTTCTTTCTGTCCTTGGTATTTTTATTGTTGAAATCTGGACACTTGAATGTTAAATATAGTATGGTAACTCTGGAAATTAAATTCTCTATCTCCCACAGTTTTTTTTCTTTTTTGTAATTGGTGAAGGTTGTAGTAGTCCATTTGTTTAATGACTTTTGCCAACTACATTTGCAGGGTCTATTTTTTTTGTTGTGTGTGGTAACTGAGTCTCTGTTTCTTGTGTTTTCTTTTTTTTGTCATTGTTGTTGTTATTTTACAGAGATGTTCTTGAATGCCAAGAGAGAGAAAGAGAGAGTGAGAAAATGTTAGAGAGAAGGAGAAAGAAGAAAAGAAATAAAATCTCTACTGGCCTTTGCAGATTGGCTGTATACTGAGGAATTGTTTCAAAATTTATGCAGGCTGCATTGAACCTAGTGATTATCCTAATGTGAGACTTGCAGTCTTCTTAGGTCTTTTCTGAGCATGCATCTTGCCCTGGGCATGTGCTTGGCTTTCTAAATTCCCGCATATACACAGATGTTTTTGAATGCCCTACTTTCCAAAAGAATCTCTCTCCCCACATTTTCCTTTCAGGCTTTAGGAAGCATATTGTATGTCTCAACCGTAATCTTTTGCTCTGGACAGCTTCAAGTTACCTGATTACTTACAATGTTTTTGAGCAATGCCCACTGCTTTTCCAGCCTTTGTAAGTTGTGCATTAGGCAAAACATACAATCACGTTGTGCAAGTTCTTTAGATTGACCCCAGGCAGGTTATAACAGATGTAAGCCAGAATTGCCAATAAGATATCCTCTGTTCCCTCTGAAACAGGGACTCACACTGCTCAGGGATTATGGGTTGATGTCTGCAAGACTGCTGCCACATTAGACATGGGGTGAGGCCTGGTAAGGGAAACATACTATAAAGCTTTTTTTCCATTTTTTATGTTGTCTTTTTCTAGTTTTAGCAGTTACTTGTTGCTTAACCTTTGACTGTTTTCCAGAGTTCTGACAAAGTTAGTTTTTACTGTTTTTGCTTGTTTTTCGATGTTTCTATGTGATGTATCTACTCCATCATTTTGCTGACATAACTTTGCCAGGGATTTTTAAGTAATTTATTTTCCTGTATCTTGCAAAGATACGAGAGGTTGCAGAAGCTAACTTAGGACCAAAGACAGGATGAATATACCAAAATAATATGTTTAAAGAGATTTTGAAAACTCCCTTATTAAAACTTTATTGAATACTGGTAACAGCATGACTGATATAATAGCAAGAATCCCAGATTCAGAATGAACAGAACTGAGTTATGCCCCCGGGCTCCCTGCTTACTACTTGAGTGTTCTTCCTTACATATGTCGTTAAACCTTTCAAGCCTATTTTCCTGTTTCTAAAATGCTAATAATATTAATTACTTAACACTCTTATAAAAAGATACTGAAAATTAAGAGGAAAAAAATTGAGATCATGGCTAACATATAAAGTTCTATTAAAAATAATTTATAAGAGTAACCACTATAATACATTCCCTTACCTAAGTGTTGTCACAATTTCCATCGTAGCACATTAACTTATTTCTTTATATTTTTCAACTTTAAAATTTTCATGTGAAGCTTATTTAAAAAATCAAAATCACTTTCTTAGAATTACACAATGTTTTATATGTAAAGAATCTGGTCAATTTACTAAAATGTCTACAGCTACAGGAAAAAAAAATACACAGAAGGAAAAAGACTCAATGGACCTGTTCCTGAATCTCTGAGTACACTAGTTCCTCACACTTTGACGCTATTCTACTCGGGTGCACATAACTAAAAGTACAAAAAAAAAGTAACATCAGCATTAGTGAATTATTTAGGTTTGGCTCAGAAAAGTTCATTTTAATCCACTTTAAATTACATGGGGAACTTATCTCAAATAGCCTTCAGATTTAAATAGAGAGCTTACACTTTTTGGGGTTTGCATAGAGCAAACAATCCTTTCCATATATGAGAAAATCAAAGGTAAAGGAAATGTTTTCATAAAATTTGCAATGCTTAAAAAATACCCAAGAAAGAATTTCAATGCAGCAAAAATAAGGTTCCTGATGTATAAATGATTCATTGTATGAGGGATTAATGCATAGCTGCTGTGCCTTTATTGATACATGAATTAAATGAAAGGACATTTCATTAGATCTCCAAGAAGTGATTGGCCGGTTGGGTTCAAATCACAAAGATGATTATTTCTAACAGCAAAGAATACTATTGGCACATCAGTGCTACAGTTTAACAATAAAGGATTTTTTTCAACTTTCTACTTCAGACACATTTTTAAACACCCTAATATTCACATTTTTGTTGTAGAGGAAACGCTGAAATATATTCCCACAAATCTATCTCCAAGATCCAACAATTATGTACAAGAATTAATCTTGTTTCATCTTGCCTTTCTTATTCACCTCCTCCCCCAACCCCCACATTCACATACACAGTGGATTATTTTGAAACAAATTCTAGAAAGACAAACCAGTAATTATATAAATACTTCAAAATGTTTCTCTTAAAGATAAGGGATCTATTTTTAATATAATGTAAATAACATCATAACAACTAAAAATAATAATTCTATATTGTTTTAAAATATTTAACCAGTATTTAAATTTTCCCCATTGTTACATTTTTCAAATGGTTACTTATTAGAATCAGGATCCAAATAAAATTCATATATTGCATTTGGTTGATGTGTTTTTGCAAGGTTGTTTTAATCTACAGACTTCTCCATTCTTCTTTATTTTCCCTTTTAATTTATTCATTAAAGACACTAGACAGTTTTCTTGTAGAATTCCCTGCCATCTGAATTTTATGGTTGCACATCACCTTGTGTCATCTCATAAGTTGTCTGTCACCTTCATTGCTTACAAAATTGTTGTTAAGTTGAAATATAAGATGAAATATAAGATGATATACTTTTGGAGAATACAAATCTCAGTTCACAAAATCCAATTTACAAAAAAAAGACTTTGTTCTTTACAATTCAGCATTAATTCTGACTTTAGGCTGGCAGAAAAATTAACTTTACCATTTTCCAAAAACAAGGCAAAATGGAGAACTTATAGTCAAAAGTAGCATTTCTTAGAATAAACAAATGTCATATTTCTTGCATACTTATATTTGCAAATGAGTCACACTAACTCATGAGCAATTTTTTCCTATATCCTTACACAAGCCCCTTTGCACGTTTTGCATATCTTTATGTATTAATTACCTAGAAGTGGAACTACTGGATTTCAAAGGTTATGAATCCATATATTCATTGACCTTATCTAATTTGCTTCTGAAAAGTTGCTTTGGTTTACACCTCATTCAAAATTGTCCCCATTTTTGGAAAATGTATTCACTGTTAAATTTTTAATTAGAAAAGAAATTACTAAGGGCCAATTTCTTTTCATATGCCATCTCATTTTGTTATTATAATAATTTTATGAGTTAGATCACAAAGTCGATTTGTAACTCCACACAACTTCAAGTTTACAAAGTGTTAGTTGAACCTTAATCTGTCAACTCTAAACTCATACCCTTGGTACAATCCTAGGCTACTCTCTTAGGGCTAACTGCTAAGAGAGAGTTCTTTGAGAGTAGAAGAACAGATAGGCTAGTCTTTTAGGAGTTGTTTTAGAATAAGAAGGTGTAAATGTGTAAGTTTATAGACCTCTATAATGTAGAGGACCTGAGATGATAGTTATAACCTTAATGACCTTTATCTGACCTTCCAGGTTAGAGATTTAAGTAAAGAATCAAAATCCCACATTATAAAACTCTAAAGACATTTTCATCTGGCATATATTCTGATCAACAAAGAAGTGTGTGTATGTGTATCTAAGAGATAGTGCTTAAGATATTTAATGCTTTATTCCCTCAAGGAAGTGATTTTTTCTGTTATTTTTTGAAATAGGTGTTGTTTGAGGGATTTCAGACTATTTTTCCTTTTTGTCCCTACAAACAAATAAATCTTTCTTTCCCAGCAAGTTCAGTCTTTCATTTGTGACAAATTTAAAAACTGACTGGCTGAAAAATGGGACGGTTTATTTTTCTTTCCCTTTTGTGAATGAGGCATTAAGTCTGAAATTGCCTTCAATGACAAATTCCTTTCATCCTTAATCCCTCATAGAAATACCTTAGTGAACTATAAGTGACAGAAGGCTTCAAAGAAAGAGGTGGGCTCAGTCTTGTAAATAAACCCATCTGAAAAATAGAAGTAATAAAGATAGGCTTACCTTATAGTATTTTATTTTTTAATTGGACTTAAATGGTTGAAAATGTAAAACAAAGTATAGTTGCATCATCTTCTAATTATTTTGTCATCTGAGTTTAATTTTTTACTCTCTTTCTATTATTTATTTGGGAATATGAAGAAAAAGTAGCCGTGACTTTTAATTTCTTTAAAATTGTCAGTGTCGTTTACAGAGGAAAGTCCTTTAAATGTTAGTATAATGATCGGCTCTGCCAAAATCTGATTGATTAACATCTTAAGCTACTTTCATACACTTTTACTTATTGAAAGATGTGATGTTGACCTATTATGTGCTGAACATTGTGCCAAGCCCTGAGAGATGTTGAGATAACTAAGATGATGGCCTTAGTCCAAGGACTATACCACCATCTACAGACTTAAACATGGAAAATTGACTAGGAGTAGAAATAAAATGCATGTGTAGTGAAATTGCTTTGAATGGCAATCAAAAGTTCGTTTTTTTGCTTTTAACTAGACCTAAAAGAATGAAGAGGCACATGTGCTGAAATTAGAGTAGAAATAAAGGAAAGGCAATATGACCAAGGAAACACGTCTGTAAGGTAAAACAAGTTTTAAAAGCACTGCAGAAATTGTTCTCTAAGACTTTGTATGGAGAAACTGGAAATTAACATTAATGTTTTAAGGTCAACTTGAAAACAATTTAAGGAGTAAAATGTAAATTTGAACTTGATCTATGACAAAGGGGTGCAAAGACTGAAGTAATTGAAGGGAATCCTGGACTTCTTAATCAATATATTGGTTTAAACTGGCTTAAATTTGGATAAAGATTATTTTCAAATATTCAACTTAAAATCTTGAAAACAAATTGAATAAAAGCAACATTTTCTTTAATTTTTAAATATTATATTTGGTAAATGGGCACTTATGTTTTCTAAATGGTTTGAGATATAATTCACGTATCATAAAATTCTTCAATTTAAAATGTGCAATTCAATAATTTTAAGTATATTCACAAAGTTGGGCAGTTATCACCAGGATCTAATTTAGAACAATTTTTTTTTAATTTAAAAAGAAACCCCCTACCTATTAGCAGTCACTTTCCATCCATTCCCATCCTCCAGCTACAAATCTGCTTCCTTTCTCTAAAGATTTGTCCATTCTGGACATTTCATATAAAGAAAGAGTACAATGTAAAGTTTTTTTGTGATTTTCTTACTTCACTTAGCATAGTGTTTTCAAGGTTCAGCTATGTGGTTTCATCATATAAAAGTACTTCATTCTTTGTCATTACTTAATAATATTACATTGTTTGAATATACTACATTTTATTTATTCATTTATATATAGATTGATGGACATTTGATGGGTTGTTTCCACTTTTTGGTTACTAAGACTAATGCTCCTGTGAACATTCATGTGCAGTTTATTATGTGAATGTAATGTGTTAATTTTTCTCCTGGTGGATTTTCTTGATCATGTGGTAACTCTATGTTTAACCTTTTGGCGGAATTGCCAAGTTATTTTCCAAAGGGGCTATACCTTTTTATATGCCCACCAATGATATAGAACACTTCTAATTTCTCATGTCCTATTTAATTGTTATAATTTTGTTTTTCTTTTTTTTTTTTTTTTTTTTTTTTGAGACGGAGTCTCGCTCTGTCGCCCAGGCTGGAGTGCAGTGGCGGGATCTCGGCTCACTGCAAGCTCCGCCTCCCGGGTTCACGCCATTCTCCTGCCTCAGCCTCCCAAGTAGCTGGGACTACAGGCGCCCGCCACTACGCCCGGCTAATTTTTTGTATTTTTAGTAGAGACGGGGTTTCACCGTTTTAGCCGGGATGGTCTCGATCTCCTGACCTCGTGATCCGCCCGCCTCGGCCTCCCAAAGTGCTGGGATTACAGGCGTGAGCCACCGCGCCCGGCCAATTTTGTTTTTCTTATACCCGTCCTCATGGGTGGGAAGTAGTATCTCAATGTAATTTTTGTTTTTATTTTCCTAATGACTAATAATGTTGAGTATCTTTTTATGTGCTTATTAGGCATTCATTTTTCTGATTGACATGAGTCTATTCATATAATTAGCTCATTTTAAACAACTTTATTGAAATCCATTCATACACCAAATAATTTACCCATGTAAGTGTGCAGTTCAATGGTTTTTTAGTAAATTACATTATTTTTAGAAAACTGTGTGAAAATATCTACAACATAAAATTTGTCAATGTAATCACTAAGTGTATAATTAAGTAACATTAATTACATTCATAATGTTGTCAATTTGTATGTTGAAATCTTAACCCCCTAAGTGATGGTACCAGGATGTGAAGTCTTTGGGAGGTGACTAGAAGCTGAGGGTGGACCTCTACTGAATGTTGTGTAACCATCATAGCTATCCATTTCCTCAAACTTTTAATAACCCTGAAAAGAAACTGTGTAACCATTAAGCAATAATTCCCTGTTACCCTTCCCCAAACCTTGTAAACTCTTTTGTAGTTTTTGCCTCTAGAATTTGCCCATTTATGTACCCATTTAAGTGAAATAATAGAATATTTGTTCTTTGTTGTCTAGTGTATTTTACTTACCATATGTTGTCAAGGTTCATCAAGTTGCAGTACATATCAGAACTTCATTCCTTTTTACGGCTGAATAATACTCCATTATACATAAATGCTATATTTTGCTTACCCATTCATTGTATGATACACACTTGTGTTGTTTTCACCTTTGGACTACTGTGTATAATACTGCGGTGAACACTAACATGCAAATATCTATTCAAGTCCCTGCTTTCAAAATCTTTGGGCAAATATCTAGGAATAGAATTGTCAGATTGAAATATGGTTCTAGGTTTAGCTTTTTGAGGAGCTGCCGAACTATTTTTCTATAGTGACTGTAATATTTCGTGTTTCCAGCAGCAGTGTACAAGATTCCAATATCTCAATATCCTTGCCAATACTTATTTTTCATCTTTTTGCCAATAGACATCCTAAAGGGTGTGAATTCATATCTCATTGTGGCTTTGGTTTGCATTTCCCTAATTAATAATGATACAGAGCATCTTTTATTGTGATTATTGGCCATTTGTATATCTTTTCTGAAAATATCTACTCAAATCCTTTTTATTTTTAGATTGGGTTGTTTGGTTTTTCTTGGTGGGTTGTAGGAGTTCTTTATATATTCTGGATATTAATCCCTTATACATTGAGATTTGTGAGTATTTTCCCTCATTTTTGGTTATATTTTCACCTTTCGATAGTATCCTTTTAAAAAAATATATGAAGTGTAATAAACCTGTTATTTTCCTGTATTGCCTGTGCTGATGATGTCATGTCAAAAAAAAGTTGGCAAATCCAATGTAAAGATGTTTCTCTATGTTTTCTTGTGACAGTTTTATAGTTTTAGCATTTAAGTTCAAATTTTAATAAATTTTTAGTTATACTTTATGTATGGTATAAGGTAAGGGTCCAACTTCATTCTTTTAAATGTAGACATCTAAAATTTACAGCACCATTGTTGAAAAGACTGTTCTTTCCCCCACTGAGTCATGTATTAATTTGCTAGGACATTGATAACAAAATACAACAAATTATTTTTAAAACAGTAATTTGTCTTTTCGTAGTCCAAGAGCTAGAAGTCCAAGATCAAGTGTTGGCAAGGCCATGCTCCTTCTGAAGGTGTTAGTGAAGAACTTAATTCAGACCTTCCTCCTAGCTTCTGTTACTTCCTTGGCTTGTGGAAGCATGACTTCAATCTATACATTGCATTCTCTTTCTATCACTATGTCCAGATCTTCCACTTTTATAAGGATACCAGTTACATTAGATTAGGGGTCCACTCTATTCCAGTATGGCCTTATCTTAACTCATTACATTTGCATTGGACCTGCTATTGTGCAAATGTTTGTGGTCTTCCTTACAATTTGTTTGTTGAAAGCCTAACCCCCAAAGTGATAGTACCAGGATGTAAAGTCTTTGGGAGGTGATTAAGAGCTGAGGGTGGACCCCTATTGAACGAGATTTGTGCCTTTATAAAAGAGGCCTCAGAGAGATCTGTGCCCATTCCACCATGTGAAGATACCAGGAAAAGGCAGCTGTCTGTGAACCAGAAAGTTGTTTCTCACCAGACACTGAGTCTGCTGGTGCCTTGATCTTCAACTTCCTGGTCTCTGAACTGTGAGAAATACATTTCTCTTATTTATTATTTCTGTTATTTATTTCTGTCATATTTAATAAATTTGTTATTTATAATTTATTATTCTGTGGCTTATAAATAGTATAGTATACTTTATTTATACAAAGATTAATAGTATAGTATATTACAGATACACAATCTATAGTAATTTGTTAGATTAGCCCAAAAGGACTAAAACAGGCCTTATTTCTAAGTAAGGTCATATTCTGAGGTACCGGTGTTAGGATTTCCACAGTGAATTTTGGAAGACACAATTCAACCCATAAGAGTCTGCCCTCTACTCCTCCCAAATTCATGTTCTTCTCACATGCAAAATACATTCATCCCATTCCATCATCCCCCAAATTATTAACTAATTTCACCATCAACTCTAAGTACAAAATCTCATCCAACTGTCTTCTAAATTAGATGCGGGTAAGACTCAGGTCATGATTCCTCCTGAAGCAACATTTATCTCTATCTGTGAATCTGTGAAAGCAGGCAACAAGTTAATCTGCTTCCCTGTATACTAGTATGCAAAAAGGATTGATTCTAGGACTCCCTGTGGATTACTAGGTCTGGAAATACTCAAGTCCCTTAGCTGGATCTGCAATCAGAGTTATAGGAGGAGGGTTGGCCCACTGTATAATGGTGGGACAGATATAGATAACATAGATATTCTGATTCATATCAAGGGAAATTGTAAGAAGGAAAAGGAATCAGAGGTTCCAAGATAGTCTGAACACTGTGAGAGAAAACTCTGTTAGGTTTTAAGGCTTGAAAATAACCCTCTTTAACTAGGTGATCTGCCCTCAGGCTCACCAGGGTGGCAGCCACCCCCTGCCCTGGGTTGCAGCCCCACTCACTGGAACTGAGGAGGTAGCTCCGCCCTCACTCTCATTCTTCTCTTTTGTGAAGGATAACATGGATCAGCCTGTTTCTTGCCAATAGAATCCCCAAAATCTAGCAGCCTTCCTTCATTATGTCTCAGTTATCTCCCCTTAGTCCAACCTGACTGTTGAGATGGTTGATTAGATCCTCAGGTTACAGGTCACATGCCTAATCTCTTTAGCGAATGGTTGTCCAGCCACACCCTTAGTGTTTTCTCCAGAGCACATTCTTTCAATTTTTTTTTAAAAAGGTGATAGACTGATAATTGCATATTTACATTGCAAAAATCTTCTAAGTTCATATTTCTTTTTGCTTGGGATTTCCTTTTTCAATTTGTCTCTTCCTCTCACATAAGTAGCAATGAGAACAAGGCTGTGAATTCCAAACTTTGGTTGTAAATCTCCTCAATTAAATATTAAAGTTCTTCACTTACATGTTTTACTTTCCACAAAATAGTAAAACGCATATCAACCTACTTCTCTGTCACTTTCTATTAGGATCACGTGTCCTCCAGAGTCTAATAAAGTTTACCTTGTTTCTGTCTGAGACCTTACCAGAAGTACCTTTAACACTCATATTTTAGCAGCACTCTGTTTATGATAATGTATGTATTCCCTAAGACCATAAGAACTTTCCCTCCAGCTTTTTTTTCTTTCTGAGCCCTTAACTAACTTGCCTGTCACATCAGTATTTCTACCAACCACCTCTTTATGACAATGTAGGCTTTTTCTATCATGCATCTCAAAACTCCCAGCCTCTATTGATTACCCAATTTCAAAGCCACTTCAACTTTTCTAGATATTTATTAGAGTCGTACCCCAATTTCTGCCACTAAAATCTGTATTAGTTTTCTAGGGTTACCATAATAAAGTAACACTAACTGAATGGCTTACTACACAGAAATGTGTTGTCTCACATCCTGGAGACCAGAGGCCCAAGATCAAGGTGTCGGCAGGGCACTTCCCTGTGAAAGTACTAGCAAGCATCTGTTCAACAATTCTGCCTTACCTTCTGGAATTCCTTGGCTTTGGGCAGCATAACTTCAATCTTTACAGGGCATTCTCCCTGTACCTCTGTGTTCCAAATTTTCCCTTCTAATGAAGACGTTAGTCATATTGGATTAGAGGCCCACCCTACCCCAGTATGATCTCATCTTAACTAATTACATCTGCAATCACCCTATTTCTAAACATGGTCACGTTCTGAGGTACTGTGGATTAGTACATGCACATATAAACTTGGGGAAAGACAAAATTCAACCCATAACAAATTATCTTGGCAACTTGGTGAAAAATCACTGGACTATATATTTGAGGGTTTCTTTCTGGGTTTTTTAAATTCAAGCTTTTGATCTATATGCCTATTTTTATGCCAGGACCACACGGTTTCAATTGCAGTTGCTTTGAAGTAAGTTTTGAAATCAGCAAGAGTGTGTTTTTAAATCTTTTTCTTTTGTTTCAAGATAGCATTGGTTTGGGGGAATTCCTTTATATTCCACATAAATTTTAGGATGGGTGTTCCTGCTTTGCAAAAAAACTTCATGTTCTGATAGATATTAAATTTAATTTGTAGAGCATTTTGGGGAGTATTGTCATCACAAAAATATTAAGCATTCTAAAGCACAAAATGGGATGTTTTCTCATTTATTTACATCTTTAATTTCATTCTAGAATATTTTATAGAAGTCTCATCTACCTGGTTATATTTTACATGTCTCACCTCCCTGGTTAAATTTATTTCTAATTACTGTATTTTTTAGATTAGATGCTCTTATAAATTGAATTTTTCATTTAAATATTTTTGCAGATTGTTTCTTTTGAGTGCATAAGAATATGATTATTTGTGTCTCGATTTTACAATCAGAACTTTGATGAATTTATTAACTCTAACAATTGTTTTGTGGATGCTTTGGGTTTTCTACCTATAAGATCATAATGTCTGCAAACAGAGACAATTTTACTTGCTGGGCTTTTCATATATGGCCTTTATCATATTGATGAAGTTTCCTTTCATTTCTAGTTTGTTGAAGGCTTTATCATGAAAGAGCGTTGAACGTTGTCAAATGTTTTTCCTGCATCGAGATGATCATGTCATTTTTGTTCCTTGATTCTATTAATGTTATATTTCATTCATTTTTGTATGTAGATGCAACCTTTGCATTCCAGGAAAAAAATCCCACATAATCGTGATGAATTATTCCTGTAATGTGTTCTAAATTCAATTTGCTAATATTTTTAGCAAATTTTAGCAATATTCATAGGGGATATTGATCTAAATTTATTATTTTTTTCTTCTAACATCTCTGTCTGGTTTGCTACTAGAGTAATGTTGACATAATAGAATAAAAAGAGAAGTGTTCCTTTCTCTTCAATACTTTTGGAAGACTTGAGACTAAACGGTGTTAATTTTTCTTTACATGGCAGAATTCACCAGTGATGCCATTTACCCTGGGTTTTTCCTTCACTGGGCAGGCAGTTTTTTATTATTGATTCAATCTCTTCACTGATTGTATATCTATCCAGATTTTCTATTTCTTCTTTAGTTAGTTTATGTAGATTGTATATTTCAAAAAATTTGCCCATTTCACATAGGTTATCCAGTGTTTAGTGTATATTATTCATAATATTCTCTTAGACTTCCTTTCACTTCTATAAAACTATTAGTAATTTTCCTACTTTTAGTTCTCATTTGCTAATTTGAGTTTTCTTTTTTTTCTTAGTTTAATATAAAGTTTTTCAAGTTTGCTTTTCTTTGGTAAAGGACCAAATTATTTTTGCTTATTTTCTTTATTGCTATTTTCCCTCTCTTTTATTTATCTCTTCCCTAACCATTATTATATCTTTTCTTCTTCCTTCTGCTAGATTTGGGTTGGGTCTGCTTTCACTAGTTCTTAAGGTTATAGTTAGGTTACTGATCTGAGATTTTTAAAAGTCTGATTGTGGTACACTATTTTGATTTCCTTCTTTTTCCCTCTCTTGTATATTTTTCCAGGCTTATGAGGAATAATTGACTAATAAAAACTGTATATATCTAAGGTATACAAATTGACATTCTGATATGCATATGCATTATGGAACAATCACAACAATGATGCTAATAAACATATTCTTCACCTCACATAGTTATCATTTTAATTTTCTTTTCTTTTTTTCATGATGAGGACACTGAAGATCTACTGTTCTAGCAAATTTTAAGTATACAATGCAATATTGGTAACTATAGTTACATTGCTGTACCTTAGCACTCCAGAAGTTTTTCATCTGACATAACTAAAACTTTGTAACCCTTAGTCAACATCTTCTAATTTTCCCCTCTCCCCAGTGCCTAGAAATGATCATTTCACTGTCTGTTTCCGTGAATTTGACCATTTTAGTTTCCACATGTAAGTGAGATCCTGCAGTACTTATCTTCCTGTATCTGGCTTATTTAACTTAGCATAATGTTCTCCAGGTTCATCCATGTTGTCACAAATGGCAGGATTTCCTTCTGTTTAAAGGCTGAATAGAATTCGTGTGTGTGTGTGTGTGTGTGTGTGTGTATTTGCATGACACTTTTTGTGTCTATTTATCCATTGATAGATAATTAGCTTGTTTCTATATCTTTGCTATTGTGAAAAGTGCTATTGTGAAAAGATACCTAGGAGTCCAGGTATCTTCTCAAGACAGTGATTCCCTTTTGGATATATACTTAGAAGTGAAATTTCTGGATCACATGCTAGTTTTATTTTATATTTGTTTAAGGAATCTCTGTACTATTTTCCATAATGGCTATACCAATTTACTTTCCCACCAACAATGTATAAGAATTCCCTTCTCTCTTCATATTCACATCTTTTGTCATTCTGCTGTTGAAATTTGGTGATATTTCTGGAAATGTTTCTTATACAGAGATGGATAGCAATGATAATCTAATTGTGCACAGAAGTGACTGTATATAAATATATTTTTAAGTCCAAATTAAATGGATCTCAATTCAGCTTCCCTTAGCTGTATCTCTGAAATGAATTCTGAATCATTGGTTGTGGTTACAAAAGAACAACACAAAGATTCTGTGTTGTTGGAACACAGTATCTTTACTGTGGTGGTGGCCATAAGTGAAAATAATATATACAGCCAAATAGGAGAGAGAGAGAGAGAGAGAGAGAGAGAGAGAGAGAGAGAGAGAGAGAGAGATTAGTACAAGTAAAACTGGGGAAATCTGAATAAAATCAGTGCATTGTATCAGTGTCAATATCCTGGTTGTGAAATTGTACTGCAGTTTTTCAAAATGGTTCCCTTTTCTCCACAACCTCAACATTTATCTTTTGTCTTTTTGATAATATCCATTCAAACATCTCATTGTGGTTTTGATTAGCATTTCCCTCATGACTAGTGATGTTGAGCAGATTTTCATATACCTTTTGTCTACTTGTATGTTTTCTTCTGAGAAATTTCTTCACAAGTCCTTTGCCCACTTTTTAATCAGATAATTTGTTATTTGCTATTGAGTTATTGGAGTTCCTAATAAATATTTTGGATATTAACCCCTTATCAGATCCATGGTTTACAGATATTTTGTCATTACCGTTTCACACTATTGCTTGCCTCAGTTGCTGTGCAGAAGCTTTTCGGTTTGATGCAATCCCACCTGTCTATTTTGCTTTTGTTGTTTATGCTTTTGGTGCTGTATCCATGAAATCATTGCCAAGCCCAATGTTAAGTAGTTTTTTCCTTATTTTGTCTTCTAGGAGCATTATGGTTTCAGGTCTTATATTTAAATCTTTATTCTATTTCGACTTGACTTTTGTATACAATCAGATATAATGGTTCAATTTCATTCTTCGACATGTGGATATTCAGTTTCCCCAATACAGTTTATTGAAGAGGCTGTCCTTGCCCCATTGGTGTCCTTGTCAAAGATCAATTGATCATAAATGTGTAGATTATTTTCTGGCCTCTCTATTTTGTTCCATTGGTCTGTATGTCTATTTTATGACATTACCATACTCTTTTAATGACTAAATTTTGAAATTAATAGATGATCCTCTAGCTTTGTTTTTCTTTCTCATAATTTCTCTGACTATTCCGTATCTTTTGTGGTCCCATATGAATATTCAATTTGTTTCTTATATTTCTGTTAAAATGCCACTGGTGTTTTGAAAAGGATTGCATTCAATCTATAGATCACTTTGGGTTATATGAACATTTTAACAATATTAATTATTCCAGCCTATAAACACAATATGTCTTTGAGTGGCATGGATTCCAGGCTATTTGTTAGCTGAGGCCTTAAATGTGCTACTCAAATCTTTCCTCAGATTTGCAAATTTTCAGCCATAAATCCTCAAATATTTTTTTTTTCCCTTTCTTTCTCTCTTCCCTGTCTGGTATTCCTACAATGTGTATGTTGGTAAGCATGGTAGTATTTCACTGGTTGTTCAGCTATATTTATTTTTCTCATTCTTTTTTCTTTTGCTCCTCAGACTGGAAAATTTCAAATGTCTTCAAGCTTGCTGCTACTCTCTTCTGCTTGTGTGAATATACCATTGAATTTCTCTAATATGGTTTTAATTTTAGTTTTACTAAATAATTTATTAGATTTTCCAGAATTTCATTTCTGTTTATTTATATTATTTTTCTTTATTTCTTTTGATATTCTCATCTTGTTCAGACATTATTTTCTCTGATTTCTTTGGTTATTTGTATGTTTTCCTTTAAACCATCAAACATATTTAAGACATCCGACTTACTGTTATTGACTAATAATTCTAAAGTCTGCGCTTCCTCAGGAATTCTTTCAAACAAATTCTTTAGTTTCTGCAAATGAGCTGTATTTTCTTATTTTTTATGTTTTAAAATGTTTGTTTATAACTGGAGGGAATTCTGAGTAATATGTAAGGTAATTCTGGAAATGTAATTATCTCGTTTTTCAGGGATTGCTTGTTCTTTGCTTGTTTATGGCTGAAGCAATGCTATTGTGATTTTCCAAACTATTTTGCAATCATATTTTGCAAACCATTTATTTGCAAACAATTTTGCATATTTGTTGTGTATGGTCACTGAAGTTTCTGTTCCATTCTTCCATTTTATCTTCAGTCATTGGTTACCTGCCAATAATTCCCTTAAATTTCTGGTTCCCAAGTGGGTAGGGAGTGAAATTCCTGTCTCTTTGAATCTCTTCTTGTCTATAAATCAATTTCATCACACTGAGGTTGAAACAAATTTTGCTCAGCTCATTTATTGCCTCTAATGTTTTTAGTGGATTCTTTAGAACTTCCTGTGTACAAGATGCTATCATCTGTATATAGGTGTAGTTTTACTTTTTTGTTTTTGAAATCTGGATATAGTTTATATCATTTCCTTTCAAATTACCCTAGGAGAACTTCCAGTAAAATATTGTATACAAAGAAATGGCAAGAACAGAAATTTTATCTTGTTTCTTATTGTAGAGAAAATGTTTCCAGTCTTTCACTTTTTAGTGTGAGGTTAGCTGCGGGGGTTTTTGTAGATGCCCATTATTAGTTTGAGGAGGTTCTCTTCTATTTCTAGATGTTCAATGAATGCTTTTTATATGAAAATATGTTGGATTTTGTCAAATGTTTTTTCTTCATTTGTTGAAATGATCATGTGGTTTTCATTTTTGCTCTTTATATTTTTAACATGATGTATTGCATTGACTGAGTTTTAAATGTGAAACCAACAGTGGTTTATCAGATTACATCCCTCTTGGGCATGTTTTAATCTTTTTATATCCTACTTCATTTCACATGCTGATATTTTACTGAATTTAATTGTGTCTATATTCATAAGGGATATTAATCTGTAGCTTTCTATTTGATTTTTTTCTTATTTTGGTATCAGGATTATGCTGATAAGAATAGTACTGAAAATAAAATAAGTTGGGAAATAATTATTTTTTTTCTGTGTTTATGAAGACTTCATAAAGAATTTGTATTAATTCTTTTTTAAATGCCTGGTGGAATTTAGCAGTGAATCCATCTGGGCCTGAACTTTTATTCATGAGAAGTTTTAAAGTCATTAATTAAATCATTTTAGTCATTACAATTATATTCAAATTTTATATTTCTATTTGAGTCAGTTTTTCTAGTTTGTGTGATCCCAGGAATTTTTTTTCATAAAGTCGCTTATGGTATTCTCTTATTCTTTGTATTTCTTTAAGGTCAGTGGTGATATCTCCTTTTATTGTATATTATTTTAGTTATTTGAATCATCTCTCCTTTGTTCTTGATCAGTCTAGCTAACAGTTTATCAATTTTGTTGATCTTTTCAGAGAACTAACTTTAGTTTTCATTGATTTTCTCTATTGGTTTTTACATTTTCTACTTTATTTATTTCTGCTCTAATATTTATTATTTCTTCCTTATGTCATTTGGGTATAGTCGGCATCTCTTTTTTCCTTTTTTTAAGCTGGAGTGTCATGTTATTGATTACTTATTTTCTAACACAACTATAAATTTTCCTCTGAGCACTGGCTTATCTATATCCATTAAGTTTGGTATATTGTCATTCCTTTTTATTCATCTGAAATTTTTTTCTCCTTTACCTTGTGACGTATTCTTTAATTATTGTTATTTTCACATAATTGTGAACTTTTTACATTTTCATATAGCAATGATTTCTAATTAAATTCTATTGTTGTTGAAGAAAATACACCATATGGTTTGAATTCTTTTGAATTCATTGATTTTTGTTTTGTGGCCTAGCATATGGCCTATGCTGGAGAATAATTGATTTGCACTTGAGAACCATGTTGTAGGATAAAGTGTATTCTGTTGTTGTTGCATAGAGTGTTTTAGAGATATCTGTTTGTTCTAGTTGGTTTATAGTGCTCTTCAATTTCTTATTTTGTCATTATTCTTCTGCTTAGTTGTATCTGTTATTGAAAGTGGGACTCAAAAGTTTCCAACTAATATTTTTATTTTTAAATTTATCCTCAGAGTGCATACATGTTTATGATTTTTATGTCTTCTTGATGGAATGAGCCTTTTATAAGAAATTTGCTTTCTAATTATTAAAATATTATTTGTTTAAATTTTAGCTTAAATTTAAGTATTTATTGAATGTTAGTATGTGCCAGGCACTGTTAAACACTTTAGAGGCTACAAAATGAATAAACATATACAAATTGTTGTTTTTATGGAGCCGACATTTTAGTTGAAAAGTCAGATCATAAGTAATATAAATAAGTAAATAACATGTTAAAGTAGAAAAAATAATGAGCAAGGTCAGGAGATCATCAGCACTAGTTGGAGATGGTTGAGGGATTGAGAGGGCTACAGACTACACTGGGTAGTCGGAGGGTAGACCATAACAAACACAACTGAGATTTATTGTTAGGATAGTAATCCTGGATTTATGGTTTGAAATACTAGTGCACATTGAAACGAAATGCAGGTGTAAGAAAAAGAAATGAAAATTAATTTGAGTAACTCATACCTACAGCACTGTTTTAAGAGTATCATAAGCAACATTGTACTGAATTTTCATAGCTCTATAGGGTGGTGTTCATTATTATCCTCATTTTACATTGGATAGATTGAAGCTTAAGGCATTTGTTACCTGTTCATGGCCATAGTATGAAGCAGGGTTTCGTTAGATAAGTTAGGCTGCAAAGCTTTTGATAGAGGCAGGAGGCAGACAAATGACTAGGGATATAAGGAAAGGTCTCCAGAGAATCTCCAACCCAACTCACAAGTGTTTACACCAAATTTTTTGTGCAGCTACAGGAACCTGCACAGCATCTCACTTGGGCATCCCTACAACAGACTGGAGGCCCACATGCACTCAGGGAACAGGGTGGAGCCACCAGGAATTCACACCTTATGCAGGGGAGGAGCCTGGTCTCTTCAGCTCTTGTGGGAGTTCTGGTATTCAATGTGTGAGGTGGAAACCTGCGTGGAAGACACTTCTCTTTGCTGAAAGTTTTCCTTTCACTTAATAAATTCCCCACTTCTCTCCTTTCAATGTGTCTGCGTGCCTAATGTGTCCTGGTTGTGAGACAAGAACACAGATTTAGATGAAATAAGGAACAAAAAATCCTGCTTCACTTTTACATGACTTTATTAAATATCAAACGTGTTCCATACATATTCTATAATATTTTCAACAAAATTGTTTTTAGACAAAATCCTTCATATAAGTTATTTTAAACGATTCTCTCAAAAGGGCAATATAAAAGCACTAGAAAGCTGTTTCCATTTAGAGTGATTTGTTAAAGTAAAATTCCAGAGTATGTCTACATTTTGTTTAAATAATTATTATTTATGCACCCTTCTGTTTGTTTCAAAATATTAAAAGTAAAATGTGAGTCCCAGTAAGTAAACAGCCTACATATTTAATGTACCTACTGGTATGTCCAAAAATTCAGCCTAGGTATTATTTATACTTTGTTACTTCCGTAATACTGATATTAAGAAATAGTAAAGTTTGAAATCCAAGGGATAATATTATTCACATTTATTATTTAGGTACAGACACAGAACAATCTTGTGTGTGACTAGAGAAATTATTTTTGGCATAATCTGACATATCTGTCTCTTTCAAATGTTTTCTTTATAAGTATTCCAATGCTTTTAGGGACTGGATTTCAGACATGTTTTCAAGCACATGTTTTTTTAGTCTGGAGCTTTTTAAATTATTAAGTAGATTATCATGCATTAATTTGACTTACTTTCATGAACAAGTTAATTTATACGTCATTAAGTGGGAAACAAGATAAAGTCCAAAATAAAATGAAATCACTACTAACTCATTATATTAATACTCTTATTAGGATGAGACACTTCAATTAAATCTATAAACTGTCAGGAAGAAATAAAGATAATAAAAGAAAGACTCTAGAGTTACATATGTATAAAAGATGGAGGCATAAGATGGTAATTAGATTTTCATATTAGCTGATCTTCTTTAGGGCCTTAAGGAAGAAATGAATCCTGTCAATATTATTATTCCATTTAGAAAACACAGAAAGAAAGAAATGAATAAGTATGTAAAAGTGTAATGGACCATCATTGTTTCCTCCAGTTTTATGCATTTTCAGCAAGTCCTTCAATGTCCATCTTCAACACTGCTTTGATATGAATCCATGTGCTTTATTACCTCAACTGTTTACTTCTGGAGGAAGAGACAGATGATCTTTATGCATATTTATTTATTATCCCAACCCAGCTCTGCCCTCAAATTCTTACCTAGGATCTAGCAAAATCTCCCTTTGGCAAATTGATAAATAAATGAGTAGTTGTACCTGATTTTTATTGTTTAGATTTATATATTTATTTTTGCCAGGTTTTCAAATATGGCAGTATTGTACCAAAATTCCTACTAATTGCACTGAAGACTCACCAAAATCACTCTCAAATGAAAAGCTTTGATTTCTTTAGTTGGGGTTTGTTAATATTGATGTCTTCCAGTGAGTTTGATTCCATATCACCCAGAAGCATTATGAGACAGCCAAATAAAAAGGGCTACCCAGATAATCTCCAACCAACCTGTGCACTAGGTGGACAAGATGGGGCCTCAGGATTTTCACAGCATTTGCAGGAGAGAGGAGCATGGCCCCTCTTGTACCTATGTGGTAACCCAGGATTCAATCTGTGAGAGGGGGCTTATTAACAGGAACCCCTCTTTCTTTGCTGTGTTGCTTTTTGTTTTTGCCCAATAAATTTCATAACCCCCCTCACCCTTCAAAGTGTCTGTAAGCCTAATTCTTCCTGGTTGTGTGACAAGAACCCAGTTTTTTCTACAAATTATTGGGTGCCAAACATGGGGCCTGAGGAAGGATGAGTGAAATGGGGACCCAAAACCTCTCACTTTCACTTCTGAGCCTTTTGGTCCTATGGCATTTATCTTCTTTTTTTCAGGACAGTAACAGCACCCATCTTTTCTTTTACAATACTGGAGGTGGTTCACATCTGCCCCAATGGCCACAGGTGCATACACAGGATGGTTGGGCAGGGAAGCTCCCTGACCCCACTTCCCTACCAGCTGGGGTGCATAGCCATGTCTCCCACATGTGTGTGCAGTGTCCAACAGCCACACAGAGCAGGAATGAGCCACAGTCAATGCCCAGGCCCCAAGATGCCCCACGTGGCTGGCTGGTGATCCCTGCTATGCACTGTGCAGTCTCCCTCTTCCATAGCCGGGGAGTCCAGGTCCATCCCACAGCAATTAAGCTTTTCTCCCTGGTGGAGGAAACACTTGCATAAGAATAGGAGGTTCTTCCCCCAGGGATAGTTTTCTCTTCTCCACTCTGTCAGCAGTTAACATAGCCCTGCATTTAAGCTGTCTCATCCTTTTCTCTACCCTGTCAACAGCTGACTTTTAAATGAGGATTTTTTCTTTTAGAAGACATTTTGCTGGACCAGGAATGATGAGGATCACTGTTTTTAGTTCCCATAGAGTTTTAATTGTGAGAAAGGATATGTGAGGTTACTCTTAAGCTGTAGCCAATCTGGTTTGCTTTGTGCATCTTTCTGTACAGTCCATACCAAGCTTTACTACAGGCCTCCATCTTGTTTTATATCATTTGGGGCATGGCCTGTAACCCAGTGGCAGGCTTTGTTTAGCTTCCATATGGCCCAGATTCAATCCTGGCTAGGGGATGAGTTTCATATCTGCATGACCTTTTGCTATTTGTTGATTCCCTTCCCCTCCATGAAATGCCTTGGATTTTCCTTTCTCTGAGCCTTTAGGAAAGTTTGAAAGGCAGAAATATTGGCCACTTGGCACCACTAAAGTTAGATAATAAGGGAGTTAAAAGAATTTTTTTGAGAAGTGCCCAGCTCAATTAAAGGTGGATATCCAACATATAGTAATATTTAAAAGACCTTTATGTTCTCCTTTTTTTGAACCTTGGTTTGCTGGAAAAATACATGGTTTTTTTTTGGTAAACTGAATTATTTTTCTCCATTTTGGCTTGCCACTTTTAATGCATGCATGAAAGGGGAGAGACCTCTGTTTTCCTCATGAAATCCCAGGAATTAAAAGCATCTGAAGGCCAATAATTCAAATAGAAGATTGGCAAATGAAAGATCTTATGGGGACTGGATTTTCTTCTGCCAGTCTGCATAGTTACATATGCATTGCATGTGTGATATCTATAAAAAGAGCTTTAATTAATTGGCCTAAAGGAAGATAAGCACTTGGATCAAATCTTTTGTAAAGAGAAGATAAAAGCTGTGGTACCTTTCAGTTCATGTGACTTAAGCTTATTCTTTGTGAAATAAAAACCACCTTAAAGATTATCAGTAAAAAGCAAATGTCATCAAAATATAAATAGGCAGACTAAGTTATGCAGGTCAGATACTATGTACACTAAATGTTTTAAGGTTATAAACTGCTTTTTTGGTTTTTCAATATGCCGGCTTCACAGTTGGTAAGGTCAGAGGACATATGGAACTAACCATACCCTTAATTATGCTGAGAAGAGTCAAACCTTGGCTGGACGTAGCACATAATCAAAATAACTTACCAGATTTTACATTAAAGTTAAAAATTGCTAAAAGTTACCATTATGACATATAATTGAGACTGCTGGAAATAGATTTACATGTGAGGTGTGTAAGAACAGTAAAATGTGTTTTTAATAAACACTTATAAGAAGGCATAAAAGTGCAAATTCTTGACTAGGGTTAAATAATTGTTTTAAATTAGATAAAATAAAGCTAAAAGTTCAAACAAGTGGTGGAAGGGTTGTCAGAATTAATCTTGCAAAAATTCCATGTGTGAATACATTGACTAAATTCAAACGGGTATTATTTGGTTTTTCTGTAAATTGAACATTAAAATAAAAGCACAACAATGTACTTTTAAGACACCAATCTTTTCTTTAGTGAAATTTGTAAAGAGTTATAAAAGGTTTTTGTTTTTTTAAAATTTCTGAGTCATTTAGGCAACATGGATAATTTATGGTAACCTGGAATTCTATTTAATAACATCAAGTTTCTTAAACCTCTAACATATTTAACAGGCTTCCCAAATCATACTTCAGTTTCAAAATTGTCTTTCTGACATCTGACTTTTTGGATGCATCACAGGGACCCTGGAGTATCCAGAAAAGGGAGGTAAAGAGGATTATTTGACATGTTTAGGTACATGGGATTGCCAAAATGGTGCTCAATCTTCTTTAGGTATATTTTGGTGAATAATACTAATATATGTTCCAAAATTTTATGGAATTTCTAAAATTCTAATGTCTGAGTATATGCTATCTATCTTAATTAAGGTTATTATGTTAAGTTATTGTAAACCACAGAGATAACCAAACTTCTTTGTCAGTTGTGTTTCTAACTGTAACTACCCTGGACATTTTGTTATTCACAAGCACTTGTTGCCTTGTTTTAATCCTTTTTCAAAAGATGGTTTATAATAAGCTATATAAGTTTGACAGGTGAGGTCAAATACAGTTTTCTAATAACTTTGGAGATTGTAACATTGGAATAAAGGAAAAATGTACAGGACTCATAAAGAGCTGAAATGTTCAACATATCAAGCAAAACAAGACCTAACCTAACGAATTCAGAAAACAGAAGCAATCTTTTTCACTTTTGCTTGTAATATTGCTGATCCTTGTGTTAGTTTTCAAAGTCAAGGAAACTTATTTTGACCTACTTATGGTCTTTAATAATTGAGTAACATCTACTTCTGTGAACAAAATTTGGAGCATGTTTCTTTCTCTCTGCCTGGTTTGTCCAGAATTTGGAAACGATCTATGAGTATTCTTAACTTACGGCAATATAGTTGTTTTTTTTTTTTTTTGTACTTTAAGTTCTAGGGTACATGTGGACAATGTGCAGGTTTGTTACATATGCATACATGTGCCACGTTGGTGTGCTGCACCCATTAACTCATCATTTACATTAGGTATTTCTCCTAATGCTATCCCTTCCCCCTCCCCCACCACAACAGGCCGCGGTGTGTGATGTTCCCCGCCCTGTGTCCCAGTGTTCTCATTGTTCAATTCCCACCTATGAGTGAGAACATGTGGTGTTTGGTTTTCTGTCCTTGTGATAGTTTGCTCAGAATGACGATTTCCAGCTTCAGCCATGTCCATACAAAGGACATGAAATCATCCTTTTCTATGGCTGCATAGTATTCTATGGTGTATATGTGCCACATTTTTTTAATCCAGTCAATCACTGATGGACATTTGGGTTGGTTCCAAGTCTTTGCTATTGTGAATAGTGCTGCAATAGACATATGTGTGCATGTGTCTTTATAGCAGCATGATTTATCATCCTTTGGGTATATACCCAGTAATGGGATGGCTGGATCAAATGGTATTTCTAGTTCCAGATCCTTGAGGAACCACCACACTGTCTTCCACAATGGTTGAACTAGTTTACAGTCCAACCAACAGTGTAAAAGTGTTCTATTTCTCCACATCCTCTCTAGCACCTATTGTTTCCTGACTTTTTAATGATCAAACTTATGGCAATATAGTTGTTTGCATCAGTGCAATAAGAATTTATTTTCTTTTGCAACAGGATGCAATTGGATGCAGTTATCTTACCAAAGCTTTGACTGGAAGGGTATGCCTCCTGTTAAAAAGTCAAGCTCAACCTGACCTGTAGTCAGTAAAGAATGTCACCTTTTAAAAGGCCCAGGAGCTCCAAGTTTACATTGGGACCTTAAGAGGATAAGATCACCCAACTCACAGGAATTTGAGAATACAAACCCATGTCTGGGCTCAGCTTTAAAAGGTCTTATCTGAGATTCCTTGTGGAACAGAGTTCCATCAAAGCCAATCTAAAATGCTATGTAGAAATAATTATTCTTGCTGCAGGTTATACAAATAATTGGGCCAAGTGTAAGTTTAAAGTTTATTTTGCAAACAACTCAGTCCTGTCATGACTTGCTTTTTTAACAAAAATGAGTACTGGAGAGAGAGAAATTATTTTTCAGAACTTATCATACATTTGTCATTAAATTCTAAACTCAGATATTTTTAAGTTGTTGCCTACATTTTAGATGAACCCTGCTTATTCCTGAGAACCAACCAGAAATCTCTGGCTGCAGCTCAGAAATAACAAGAGGGTTAGGTAATGTAGAAATTTGGATCTATATTCTAGTTCTGAACAATTATCCTGCAAATCCTGCCAGGTGATGGGAATAAATAGGATGCCCATCACCTGGAGGTTTCCTTTTTGGGAAAGTAAGACCAAGGGAGCTAACAAAAGCCAAGCAGTATGTACCCAAATCCTAGCAAGCGTAACTATAGCCACCAGTTATCTGGGCATGTCACAGACATTCTTTTATCTCCCTTGTTGGAGGAGGACTCAATTCCACAGCTTCACCATAGCATTTGGCTTATGATAAGGAGCCCATGCAATCCCCACTGAGACACATTTTTATCCCAAACGCAATTCCAAGCTTCATGTAAAAGCTCTAGGAAAGAAAACTGGATCTGAAGGATCCAGAGGCAGACAACAACAGAAGTTAAAAGGCACAGTGCAGGTGAGTGTGGCTGATTTCTGCCAGTTAAGACATGCTTCCTGTTACATGGTTAAAGGCCATGCTAGAATCCATGGCAAAAACGAGGTCTAGAGAATTCAAAGGCTATGGACAGCAGGGAAGACAGGGCATGCATGGGTAAGAGTGGACACTCCCACTCTCTAGGCTCCCTGTTAACATGGGTAAAAGCCACTTTAATACCCATGGGTGGCACTCTGTCACAGTAGCCAGGACTCGGGGATATAAGGAGGGAGGAAAGAAAGAGGAATGCCTCACTTTCCCTCCCTCATGTACCTTGGGTATTTGCTAAGAAGGGGAAGGAACCAGGGATGCCTCAGTCCCCTCTTTCTAGATGAGTAGCCATTCATCTTCAGTCTGTACCCCTTTCAAATGCATCCTGAACCTCTGGGACTCCCTTGAAAAAAAATCTTTCTTTTCATTTTTCTTCCTCTGTCTTCTCTTCACTGATAGGTAATTGTGCCTCCGTACTATGAGACACTGCCCTCAGAGTGCATCCTCCAAACTGGAAAGTGTTAGTTTCGTAAACCTGGAACTAGTTGGCTTAGGATCGGGCTCAGGGGAAGGGAACCCAGAAGCCTGACATGCTGGCAAAAGGGAAAACCTTTTTTTTTTTTTTTTTTTTTTTTTAACTAGTGGAGCTTTTGGCCTCTCTCTCCCTGTGCAAACTGGTAAAAGGACTCAGAATTTTTGAGCTGTCTTTACGCCTTCCCTTGTTTTATTTTGATACATGTTTTCTAATAACCCAGTTTGTCTATTCTTCCCTTCAGGCCATTAAACTTCAAAAGGTCATGCAAACAGATCCTCTGACGGTGGCCCCTTCTGCCAGGGACCCTTAGATTGGCCTCTGAGTGAGCTCTGACTGCCATTTCCCCAAAATAGCACTTCACAACAGCAGGAGGCAGTTAAGATCGGTCTTTGTCCTTATCCTTATCCTTATTCTAATGGCAGTTATATGTATTTCTTTAGAGGAGGAAATGAGACAGCCAAATAAAAAGGGATCCCGAGAGAACCTCTGACCAGGCTGTGCACTGGGAGGACTGGGTGGGTCCTGGGAAGTTTGTGTCATTTGCAGTGGGAAGGAACCTGACCTCTCCTGTTTTTGGGTGGTGACCTGGGATTCAATCTGTGAAATGGGGGCTAGTGAATAGGAACCCCTCTTGCTTTGCTGAGTTTTTTTCCTTTTTCCTTTTCACCCAATAAATTCCATAACCCCTCACACTTCAAAGTGTCTGCAAACCTTATACTTCCTGGTCGTGAAACAAAAACCTGGTTTTTTACTACAAAAATTGGGTTGAAGAAACCCTGGACAGTTTATTTAAGCTTTCTGAATATTAATTTGTTCAATTATGTGAATCTAGTTATGCCCACTTCTAGTGCTATGGTGATTAAAATACATTGTAACAAAAAGTGCCTAATGCTTCTAATTACTATTATTCAAACATAGTGATTTTGTTTCTTTCTAATGATCCTCACCACTCTCAGAGTTTACATTGTTGTTTTAAATGAGGGAAGGGGATAGCAGTGAGATGGAGAGGGGAGAGGTTATAAAATTAGTGCAGCTCAACAGAAACCAAGTAATGAGGCACTTCATTAACCCATGAGATTGGAATGGGATCCTGTCATTGTATAAATTTTCTTTTTCTTTTTGGCTAGATGTATGTATCTAAGCAATCACAGAAGAGAAATTAATACATTCAACAGAAGAACCAAAATTATCATATTTCACAACATAATTTTTCTGTTATTTGATAGGCTGTGTTTACCCAAATATTTAGTCTTTTAAATTAGTTAACTCTCCACATCATCAACATTTCTGAGATAAGTCATAAAAGTGCGAGCTGAAAGCTGCTTCAGAACTTTTAGGAAGACAAAGAGCTTAAAGGAAAATTCAGACTTTATTTTAAACTGAAAGGATATACCTTGGACAACTGTTAAAAGTGTAAACTAAAATTCCTTTCTTCAAAATGTACTCATATTAAATTATAGCACCTTTCCAGTCCCTGAAGAAGCACCTATGTTATATAACAGATTGAAGCATGTGCCCTTACTACTTTCTGCGCTGTCTAAATGCTTATGTTAGCATATCGTGAATACATGTTTATGGAATTGAACTGAAATCAATTTAATTGCATTGAGGAAAGAATCAATACACAGTTCCCCAGTGGCTACCCTCCAGAGTCTGAAAGCCCAGATAAGTTTTTAAAAATATTCTAATTGTCTTTCAAAGTGTAGATTAAGAATGGCAACATTATCTTATTTTATTTTTCTTTTAAATTCTGATTCCAGAAATTCATTAGAAACAAAGAAATCAGAATCTTTGGCCATCGCCCTCTTAAAAAGCTCATTAAGGTGATTTCTGGGTGCAGGGAAATTTCAGAACTGTTTGTCAACATAAAGAATCTCTTTTATAATGAAATAACTTTCTCCCCTCCTTGATAACAGCCATGATGACAGTATAAGATAAACATACCTTCACATATATTTACATACGTGTGTGTGTGTAGCCTGTGGTATATGGATCCAGACATAAATTAAATGTCTGTCTTTGATGATTTTTATAATACACCCATTCTTATGGGCAGCAGTGTGCTTTCTGCCCATGCTCAGGCCCTGGTGCCACGGTCTTGCTCTCTCCTGCCTGCAACATCTACATCACCATGAACATTGTCCTCTTAAGGCTGACCCTGAGCTGTGTGTGTGTGTGTGTGTGTATGTGTATGTGTGTGTGTGAGCGTGCATGTTGGTTATTTCCTGTAAAGTTCTAAATATTATTCTTTCTTTTATATACTTTTCCTTCTGCTTTCATTTTCTTTAAATACTAAATAACACAAGAAGTGCTGCTGCTCATGCATTTACTGACAACTCTCCACGTGGACACTCTTTAATCCAATATTTGGTCTAGGGTGAGATTCCGTCTCTCACTCTAATGTTTAGGTAACAAATGTATAATAAAATTGCCTAAATTTAACTAAATTGATAGAGATACCTCCACAGCCATCTCAATGAGTATTCTTAGACTTGGGCTAGATTCCAGACTTGACTAGAATAGAATCTAGTCTTGGAATAGATTCTAGACTTCAACTAGATTCTAAAGAACTGCCAGTTAGTCAATGGAAGCTACGTGTTGGATAAAGAACAGTTAACTGAAAAGTAAACTAGGAGGTGATATGGAACTTCAACCTGGATTTGTGTAATATGATGTTAATGATCACATCTTTACTACTTATCTCTCAGGTATATAATTCTACCCCTGATCATCTGTTTCACATCTCCACCTATCTGCATGACACCACTATCACACCAGCCTACCTGATTATTATATTATAGAGGCTGACAGCTGCTCCTCTTCATGATTTATTGATTTCTTTTTAATCAACTGCCATTCAAGATATCACACCATTAATTTCAAACATGATTATTATTATTTTTAATTAACAGACTTTATTCTTTAGCACGTTTAGGCTTCCAGTAAAACTGACTGGATAGTATATCACCCTCCTCCTCAAGTTTTTTCTGTTATAAAGATCTTGCATTAGCGTGGTACATCTGTTACAATTGAGCCAATATCAATACAGTATTATTAACAAAATTTTATAGTTTACATTAGGGCTATATACTATATGGGTTTTACAAATGTATAATGACATATATCTGCCATTATGATATCTTGCAGAACAGTCTCATTGTCCTAAAAATCCTCCGTGCTTCAACTATTCATCTTTCCCGCTCTCTTTCCCTACATCCTTGAAATCCACTGATCTTTTGATTGTTTCCATAATTTTACCTTTTCCAAATGTCATGTAGTTGGAATAATACAGCATGTAGCCTTTTCAGACAGGCTTCTTTCACTTAACAATATGCCTTCAAATTTTCTCCAAGTCTTTTCATGGCTTGATATTCATTTCTTTTTATTGCTGAATAGTATTCCATGGTATGGATATACTACAATTCGATTATCTGTTCAGTTATTGTAGCATACATATCTCAGTTGTCTCCAAGTTCCACCAATTATGAATAAAGCTGCTATAAATATTTATGTACACTTTTTTGTGTGGATATAATTTTTTTACTCATTTGGGTAAATACCAAAGAGCACAATTACTGGATCATATAGCAAGAGTATGTTTAGTTTTGTAAGAAACTGCCAAACTGCCTTTCAAAGTGACTGTATCATTTTGCATTCCCACCAGCAATGAGTGAACAATCCTGCTGCTCTATATCTTCATCAGCATTTACAGGTGTTAATGTTTTTGGATTTTAGCCATCCTTGTATTTGTGTAGGATTAAGTCATCATTGTTTTAATTTGCAGTTCTCTAATGATACATGATTTTGAGTATTTAATCACATACTTATTTCCCTCCCATATACATTCTTCGGTGAGGTGTCTATTGAGATATGTTGCCCATTTCATTAAATTAGGGTTATTTTCTTGGGGAGTTCAGAAATTTTTGAAAATTATGGTTGCTAGTTCTTTTTTAGTTTGTTTTGCAAAAAATATTTTTCTCCTAGTGTGTGGTTTGTCTTTTTATCTTAACATTGCCTTTTTCAGGGTAGAATTTTTTAGTTTTAACAAAGTCCAACTAGTTAACATTTTCTTTTATGTGTTGTGCTTTTAATGTTGTATCTAAGAAGTCATTTCAAAACTGAATACAACTAAATTTTAGAATGCGTTTGCTAATATCTACAAAATAACTTTCTGGGATTTGATTAGGATTTCATTGAATCTATAGATCAAGTTGGAAGGGACTGATATGTTTACAATATTGAGCCTTCCTATCAATGTACATGAAATATCTCTCTATTTATTTAGGTCTGTGATTTATTTCATCTGAATTTTAAAATACTCCTCATATAGATCATGGATAGATTTTGTTTGATTTATACCTAGGTATTTAATTTTGATATTAATGTAAGTGGCACTTTATTTTTCATTTGAAATTCCAGTTAGTCATTTCTGGTATTCAAGAAAGCAACTGACATTTTTTTTTGTATTAACCTTGGGTAGCTTCTCTATGATGACTTATTACTTCCATGAGAATTTTTTGTTGTTGTTGATTCTTTGTTTTTGTTTTTTTTTTGCATAAACACATGACATCTCCAAACAAGACCAGTTTTATTTCTTCCTTCCCAATCTATGTTCCTTTTGTTTCCTTTTTTTTTCTTTTTTCTTTTTTTGCCTTATTGCATTCACTTGGAATTCTTGTACAATGTTGAGTAAGACCAGAGATAGTGGCATCCTTTCCTTGATGATGATCTTAGGGGAAAACATGCAGCTTTTCACCATTAGGTATGATGTTAGCTGTAGGTTTTTGTAGGTGTTCTTCATCAAGTTAGGCAAGTTCTCTATTTTTAGTTTGCTGAGCATTTTCATAATTAATCAGCATTTTCATAATTAACAACTATTTGACAATATAATTATTAACTTATTGTCAAATAACTTTTCTGCATCTCTTGATATAATTATATTTCTTCTTTAGCCTCCTGATGTGATGGCTTGAGATTTTTAAATGTATAATTGACTTTTGAATATTGAACCATCTTGCATACCTAGAACAAATCCCACTTGGCTGTGGTGTGCAAACTAGCTATTATATTAGCCAAACATATTTTATCCATGTATGGTCTTTTTCCCTAGTCAGCATTTATTTTTAGTAAATTCAACTTCAAAAATCTTTCTTGTCTGGGTTCGGTGGTTCATGCTTGTAATCCCAGCACTTTGGGAGGCTGAGGCAGGAGGATCACTTGAGGCCAGGACTTCAAGACCAGTCTAAGCAACATAGAGAAACAATGTGTATTAGTCCATTTTCACACTGCTGATACAGACATACTCAAGACTGGGCAATTTACAAAAGAAAGAGGTTTAATTGGACTTATAGTTCCATGTGACTGGGGAAGCCTCATAATCATGGCAGAAGGCAAGGAGGAACAAGTTGTATCTTACATGGATGGCAGCAGGCAAAGAGAGAATGAGGAAAATGCAAAACCAGAAACCCTGATAAAACTATCAGATCTCATGAGACTTATTCACTATCATGAGAACAGTATGGGGGATGATTCCCTCATGATTCAATTATCTCCAACCACATCCCTCCTATAGCACATGGCAATTATGGGAGTACAATTCAAGATGAGATTTGGGTGGAGACACAGAGCCAAATCATATCACTCCAGCCCTGACCCTTGCCAAATCTCATGTCTTTACATTTTAAAACCAATCATGCCTTCCCAACAGTCTGCCAAATTCTTAACTCATTTCAGCATAAACTAAAAAGTACACATCCCAAAGTCTCATCTGAGACAAGGCAAGTCCCTTCTGCCTATGAGCCTGTAAAATCAAAAACAGGCTAGTTATTTCCTAGGTACAATGGAGATACAGACACTGGGTAAATACAACCATTCCAAATGGAAAAAATTGGCCAAACAAAGGTGCTACAGGGCCCATGCAAGTCTGAAATCCAGCAGGGCAGTCAAATCTTAAAGCTCCAAAATGATCTCCTTTGACTTCAGGTCTCACATCCAGGTAGTGCTGATGCAAGAGGTGAGTTCCCATGGTCTTGGGCAGCTCCATCCTGTGGCTTTGCAGGGTGTAGCCTCTCTCCCAGCTGCTTTCATGGGCTGATGTTTAGTGCCTGCAGCTTTTCCAGGTGCACAGTGCAAAGCTGTTGTGGATATACCATTCTGAGGTCTGGAGGATGGTGGCCCTTGTCTCACAGTTCCACTAAGCAGTGTCCCAGTAGGAACTCTATGTGGGGGCTCTGACCCCACATTTCCCTTCTGCACTGACCAGCAGAGGTTCTCCATGAGAGCCCCACCCCTGCTGCAAACTTCTGCCTGGGCGTCCAGGTATTTCCATACATCTTCTGAAATCTAGGCAGAGGTTCCCAAACTTCAATTCTTAACTTACTGTGCATTCACAGGCTCAACACCACATGGAAGCTGCCAAGGCTTGGGGCTTGCACCATCTGAAGCCATGGACTGAGCTCCATGTTGGCCCCTTTCAGCCAGTGCTAGAGTGGCTGGGATGCAGGGCACCAAGTTCCTAGGCTGCACACAGCATGGGGACCCTGGGCCTCCAGTCCTGTGATGGTACGGGCTGCCCTGAAGACCTTGGACATGCCCTGGAGACATTTTCCTCATTGTCTTGGGGATTAACATTGATTCATCATTACTTATGCAAATTTCTGCATACGGCTTAAATTTCTTCTCAGAAAATGAGATCTTCTTTTCTATCACATTGTCAGGCTGCAAACTTTTCAAACTTTTGTGCTCTGTTTCCCTTTTAAAACTGAATGCCTTTAACAGCACCCAAGTCAACTCTTGAATGCTTTACTGCTTAGAAATTTCTTCCACTAGATACCCTAAATCATCTCTCTCAAGTTCAAAGTTCCACAAATCTCTAGGGCAGGGGAAAAATGCCACCTGTCTCTTTGTTAAAACATAACAAAAGTCATCTTTGCTCCAGTTTCCAACAAGTTCCTCATCTCCATCTGAGACCAACTCAGCCTGGATGTTATTGTTCATGTCACTATCAGCATTTCAGGCAAAGCCATTCAACAAGTCTCCAGGAAGTTCCAAACTTTCCCATATTTTCCTGTCCTCTTCTGAGCCCTCCAAGCTGTTCCAGCCTCTGCCTGTTACCAAGTTCCAAAGTTGCTTCCACATTTTCAGGTATCTTTTCAGCAATGCCCCACTCTACTGGTACCAATTTATTGTATTAGTCCGTTTGCAAGCTGCTGATAAAGATGAACCTGAGACCGGGCAATTCACAAAAGAAAAAGGTTTAACTGGATTACAGTTCCACATAGCTGGGGAAGCCTCACAATCATGGCAGAAGGCAAGGAGGAGCAAGTCCCATCTTACATGAATGGCAGCAGGCAAAGAAAGAATGAGGAAGAAGCAAAAGTGGCAACCCCTGATAAAACCATCAGATCTAGTGAGACATATTCACTACCAAGAGAACAGTATGGGGGAAACTGCCCCAGCGATTCAATTATCTTTCAGCAGTTCCCTCTCACAACATTTAGGAATTACAGGAGTACAATTCAAGATGAGATTTGGGTGGGGACACAGAGCCAAACTATATCACAGTCTCTAGAAAAAATAAAAATAAAAGAATTAGCTCGGTGTGGTGGCATGTGTTTGTGTCCCAGCTACTCAAGAGGCTGAGATGAGAGGATCACTTGAGCACAGCAGGTCAAGTCTGTAATGAGCCATGATTGTACCACTGCACTCCAGCCTAGGCAGCAGAGTGAGACCGTGTCTCAAGAAAAAAAAAAAAAAATTCTCTCCTTTGCATCACCATTATCAGATTTTAGTACATATATCCTCTGTAAGCCAAAAAGTACCTGAGGCAGGTCTCAATCAATTTAGAGGTTTATTTTGCTAAGATTGAAGACATGCTGAGGAAAAAGAAACACAAAACCACAGGAACAATCTGTGATCCATGCTTTTACCAAAGAGGATCTCTGGACATCAATATTTAAAAAGGAAAGGCCAGACAGTATGGAAAAGAAGAAAGAAGAAAAGGGGAAGTGTAGATAAAAGCGGAAAGCGGTTGCATTTTTTTAAGGCTTCCATCAGCGTTCACTGAATCCACGTTTTACATGTGAAAGGAGTGGAAAGAAGAATAGTCAATTATGTATTCCTCTCATGCTTAGTAAATGAACAATTTACATAAGATAAAGTAAACATAGAGTAGCACCTGTGGAGACATCTGGCCTTCTATCTCCAGCAATTTCTTTGTGTGACTCAGCTTTCAGTTTAACGTTTCCCTTTGGCATAGTGCATTTAAGGTCCTGAGATTTTATTTTCCTTTCACAACTGCTAAAGTAGTTTAAATCAGACTCATTACAATAGCTTTTAATCACTTTCTGCCCTTACCTCATCGTTCTGTCTGCCCCTGGACATTAATTATTTCTGCTAAGCAACAAATATTGCAATGTCTTATTCCTCTGTCTGGCATGCTTTTCCCTGATCAACAGGGCTCCTCGACCCTGACTCTGGCTTATCTTCTCCAGGAGCCTTTTTCTAATCACCCTAAGGAAAACTGCAACATCCTCTACCACCAACATTCCCTTTTCTCTTCTATGCTTTATGCTTCTCTGTAGTATTCTCAGCATCTGAATTAGCTTTCTATTGCTGTCATAAGTAATTTCCACAAACTCAGTGGCTTAAACAAAGTAAGTTGGGAACTCACTGCACTGAATTGAGCACTGCACAAGGCTGTGCTCCTTTCTGGAGGCTCTAGGAGAGAATGCACTTCCTTGCCTTCTTTAGTTTCTAGAGACACTCACATTTGTTGGCTCATGGCTCCTTTTTTCAAAGCAAGTGATGTATAATCTCTCGGATCCTGCTTCTCTTATCACATCTCTTCCAACTACAGTGGGAAAAGATTCTTTGCTTTTAATGACTTCTGTGGTTAGATTGGACTCAACTAATAATCCAAAATGCACTTCCTATTATTTTAAAGTGTATAATCTTTATCCCATCTGCAAAGCCAAGATTCATGTAAAGTAACATCTTCCCAGATTCGGGGATTAAGACGTGGTCACTTTGGTGGGGGGAGTTATTCTGCCTACCATCCATGTAGAATTCTAAGCTTTCTATATTCATTTTTATTATATATCACCAACAACTAAAATGTAAATTTTATAGAGACAGCATAGTTGTTTTAAATTTTGTCTGTTTCTGTTTTGATTTTTGCTGTATTTCCAGATAGAGCCTGACACATATAAATAAGGTACTTAATAAACACTTGCTGAGTGAGTAGATATCACTTACTACTTTGGGTCCTAGTGCTTTGGGTACATGTCTAAACTTGCCATTGATTTGTACATTTTTTAAGGTCAAGGCTATGCCCTATGCCAGCAAGTTTTCTTCATATCCTGCTAAGTGATCAATATGAATAGTGTGTGCTGAGTAAACAAGTTTAGAATGTAATGAGTTAAAATATCTTCTGAATTTAAAAAAATGATGATATTAAAAATGCCAACCACAGTATTATATTGGCTAAAACCAAAATGCCATTAAGCAATAGGATTGTTTCTATGACAATAATGCAATCCCAAAATTTGTTCACAATGTTTTGTAAATTATTTGGAGGTTGGCATTTTATATATTCTTAAAATCATCTAATTTTCCAAAGACTTCCAAAATAGCTTCTCTATGAGTATGCTCACACCCTATCAGTTATATCTTTCCAAGGCTCTGAGGTCACATTCTTTTTTTCTCTAATGGTATCTCCTGTGAGCCCCCTTCTACCTCAGGACATCAAGGAAGAACAAACATAGTTATACCTTTAATTTGTGAAATGCACTTAAATCTACATTATGCATCTTTCTTAATAGCTTAATCTCCCTTTTGGTAGAATCCCAAGTACTTAGTTATCTATTGAATATTAGGTCTGGGGGAGGACACACCTGTGTCTATGAACCTCCTTGTTCTGTGCCTGCACTTTTCACGTTTTCTTGTCTCTGTTAACACCTAGGTGGGGACATATATTGACTGCCCCTCTGCCCTATTAGCTGAATTCAATGAAAATGGAAACTGATGTATTCAACCTAGTAAGGGAGGACTTTTCTGTTGCCATATATTCCATAATAAACAAATGCAATATTTGTAGCAAGAGCAACCTCCATAACTTCAAATGAAATTGTTATACCAGGACATCCTCTTTCTCTGACAGGACATATCCATATTCCCATTAATTTCTCTAGCACAAGAAGGAGAAGGGAGTTGAGGACCTTTTTGAATGCGTAATGTATGCCAGCATCCTATGAAGTTTAAAATAAGGAGGACTTTATTCTATTGCTTGTGGGAATATTGGTGTCACCTATTACATATCTGCATTTGAAAGATGCTTTCGAAACTTACTTTAAATGTGGTCTCAGTTTCCTCATCTGTAAATTGAAAATGTAAAATGATTCTTACTACATAATGTTTTTATTAGAACTAAATTAAATAATTGATCTAAAACAATTACATGGCTCTGCTCAATAAATTGCATATTTATGACTATCATGTTACGTTGTACAATTCTTCACAATATATAAAGTAGACTTCCACCAATTCACTTTATTGGTGAATTGGTTTTAACATACATATTTAAAAATTACATATCAGTGTTCTAAACTTAGTTCCCTTTTCTTTTTCACATTCTCAGGGTACCACACCCATTCCTGTTGAGAAATAATCTGAATCATTTTGATTGTTCAGTAATTGTCACATTATTTTCATCAAGACTGATCACCTCCAGTAAGGGACTAGTTAGATGCTAGAAATGATCTCTCTTAAACACACACACATGCTCACACAGACATGCACACACACACATACACAGTCTTGCTACCAGGATGATTGTATAATAAAAGAAGTATAAAACAGGACTGCAAAGCATACAAACAAGAATTTTCTTTTCAAATTAGAGACTGACAACTTACAGCTTCCTCCTGCAAGCTTTTTGGAATTCCTTTTGTCTATCCTAAGTAAAGTTTCTCTAAGATGCTCTTGGTTGAATGGTTCCATCTAAAGTGAGTATAATGTTATTTTGTTGCTGTATACCAAACTTCTAGGTAGATAAGGCAACAGAGTTTGCCTTTAAGTGGGTTACCCAGGACCAAATAGAGTTCAAGATCTAGGTTAATACTCCAAATGTGCAACAGGTGTGGGCACATCACATTTTTATACCCATTCACCTGAGATATGGAAGTAACTCTACCAATTTATAGCCAGCCATTTATCTCAAATATAAACGTCACTCACTTCAGTTATGAAAAATTATTCCTATCTACTGTCATTCTAAATACAAAATCTCTGATGAAGATCGAGATAGCAGGAGTTCAAGAACTTTGGAGATAGAAAGCCTACTCAGAGGTCTTCAATGCTAACTGTTCATTTTTGGTGTGTGTAACCCTGATTAGGTTAATCCAGATTTCAACTCATCAGCCTGGATTTGCAGGTTAAGATTAACTTACAAACAAATATATTGCACTATTGTCACTTACTATTTTAAATTATACATTTTTTAAATGGATTACAGGCAATTAACAACTTCCAGAACCTGGAAATATGTTGTCTCATATAGCAAAAGCAACTTGGCAGATGTGGTTAAATATTCCAGCCCTGAGGTGGTGAGATAATCTTGGGTTTTCCAGGTGTGCTAAATCTAATCATGCAAGTCTGTAAAAGCAGAGAAGCTTTACTAGCAGCAGTGAGAAGGAGAAAGAGAGATGTGAAAATGTAAGAAGGGTAAGAGCAGAGTCCCTGGCTTTGAAAATCTAGTAATAGAAAATTCTCATTTACGCCCAGCTTTCAATAGCATGAGTATTTCATGAAATAGTTACCTATGAAGAGCCATGATTACATGGTAACACATTTAAGATGTGTGTTATGAATTTGAAATGTTGAGTTGGTGAAATTTGCAATATCATTTCATACCTTAGGATGCACTAGTGAAACAGAATCACTTACAGAAAAACGAGACAGTTCTGGAAGAAGTCCCAGATCTTTGCAACAGTGCAGAATCTAATGTGGGATAGGATAAATTTCCAGCTCAGACAGAGGTGTGAGTGTCCAGTGTGCAAAACTGTGTTAAGAAATTTTGAGTTTGCTTATTATACCTTTTGTAAAAGTTTCTAATTGAAAATATAGTGCACATTAAATAATTTCTGATTAATATTAATTTTAAGCTGGCAAATAGTCATGATTCAAGAAGATGTTAACTTTAAAGAAACCAAATTAAATAAACATAAATTAATGTGAAGAGTGTAAAGCCCAAAGAAGGCTTGCCTGCAAGTCAGAATGCAATTCATTCTGACAATTGCAAGAACATATCTGTTGGGTAAATTCAGGAAAAACTAATTTATCCAGAATTAATCAATCACTACTCCCTTCACCTCATGGAAATGCTGCTCTCAATGCAAGTGTTCCACTGCAGTGGGATTATCCAGGTATCTTCCTGTGCCCTCCAAAATGCAGGAGAGATGAAAACCCTGGAAATCATCTTAACAGAATTGTCACTACTGATGAGTGATTTGTCAATAAATCTGTGTTGAATAACTAAATTCTTCAATACATAAAAAGTAAGCTGAATTATCACACAATACAGATCAACTATGAGATTTATTACAGTTCCTTTCTAGATTTGTACTGGTTAGCTGAAATAATGGTGACCTACATTACCTATTTTCATTTCTCGCCACTAAGAGCTTATAAATTTGTTAGTACTCTTGCTTATCTTTAATTTTACAGTTGTGCTGCATTTTCAGTCTATTTTCTAATTCTTTCCTATAGCTGGGAAAAGTTCTCAGGTAGATATGTACACATTGGCAAATCTCCACTTGCCCCTTTCCTCAGACCATTGTCTGATCTGTAACTGGAAATGTCCACTCTGATTATTTGTCATTTCTCTCTCCAAAGCCAGGTGCCCAAAGTACCATCAAAATCATTCATTTTTGACTGATGCAAAAACCTCTTGTGAGATTAGAGTGTATAGGGTGATGGTCAACACAGGCAATGATATGTAAACAGGATCTTTAAAAAGCACTATAATTGGTGATAAAAATGCAGATTTCAATACATTTTTATGATGTCAAACATAATGATGTTGTTGTAGTATTTACCAAGATGTTATACTGCAGTACAGCAATGTTACTATAGTATTCATCACGGCAAAGTTTGTCCTTCCTAGCCACAGCCCACTTTTTCTATTTTATGCTCTGCCCATATCCCGGTACAACCAGTGCTGTGAATACAGCAATCTGTCCATATGCATAATGAAACTATGTTCCTGCCTGCTTTGAGGCTTTGATCTCCTTGGCTTGATATCTGAGATATCCTTCCATATTTTATGCTCCTACATGAAATCTCTCTAAATTCCCAAGACTCAGTATAAAAAAAAAACAAAAAAAAAAGCAAAAAACACTTATTATTGAAGAATTATTTCCCCCAGATTGAATTATTCATGCTCACCTATGTTTCTTAGCACATTGAGCATATTTCTATGTTATTATTATTAATTTCCTTGAGAGTGGGAAGTAAACACCTTGGTCATGTCTGCACCTCTGCTTTGCAACAGGGCTTGACACTAAGTAAAAAGCACAGAAAATACTTGTTGAACATTTTTGAATTGAATCAGATTAAAGTGAATTGACCTGATTAAGGTTTATAGAATTGCCTGGGATGAGTTGGCCTCCAAAGAGCTGTTTTCCTTTTTTTTAAACAAATAAATTCAGACTTAATTACAGCAATTAATTTCATTTTAAATACTATTATGGATGGGTCTTTAATTTAATATTGCTTCACCTTTACATTTACTGTAATAATGTTCTTCTGTAGTTATCAATCGGCAGTATTTATTATTTTCCCTGTGGAGGTAATTATAAAATTATAAGAACCCAGAGGATGCACTGAATTTTAGAGGCTAAAGTTATTTTGGAACCGTCAATTTTGTTCTATTTTGTTGCTTTATATGAAGTGGTAGACATGACTAAATATGCTTTAGAAATTTAGATTATTTAAAGGAACAGAACACCAGTATCAGAGACAAATTCTTGTCTCTCATCATAAAAATTTAACACATCCAGGACATGCCTTTTGAAAGGAATAGACAGAGAGCTCTGAAGTGGCCTTTCCCGTGAGTGGCTACCATCTCAAATGTGACCCTTATGTCTCACCAAAAAGCAGAAAAACCTCTTTCACAAGTTACTACTTGACTTCCAGAACTCTCCCTTGGCTCTTTCTCTGCACCTGTACTCCTCCTCTAAACCCAGCTCCCCAAAATCTCCCCGCTGTGGGCTAGATCTGTTGGGGAGAAGCCATTCCTCAGCCTGCTCACAGGTCCAAGAAAAAACTCTTCATAGCTTATTTATATTGTCCCGTGCCTCTTTGTCTGCCTCTTCCATTAGAACAGAAGCTTTCAAACAGAAGGGATTTAGTCTTCTTATGGTTAATGCCTACCACAATGCCTATAATCTTTTTACATATTGTTGTGTGAAAATGAGTGAATGACTGAGTAATGACACGGTCTGCTGAGGTGAGCTAGCCATGACACATAGGTGCTGTATTTGACATTCCAGATATTGGCAGAAGTAATCAGCAGGCAAAAGGAGAACCACTGAACCAAACAAATGCTGTCAGATTCACTTACTCTCTACCACCCAGGGGGCAGACAGTGGAGAAAACCTTGCAGAAATGGACTTCTCCAGAGATCCAAGAGGTACTGATCGCAAACGGACTCCAGGCCCTCTGAGTATGCACTATATTTGCTTTCCTGCCTAAAGCAGGCACCAATTACTGACCCAGTGCATTTGGTAAGTCAGTCTCCCTGCTAGAGGAGAAAGTTTCCAACTAAAGGGATGCCAGCATTTCAGCCTGGAGGTAGTTTTGCAGATTTAGGGACTAAGTCAGAAAGAAAATCAGAAAGAATAGCATTATGAGAAGACTTAAGAAAATCAAGACCAGTTTTAAGGTGCTGGTGAGTAAAAAAGACCCAGAGGACAAACACAAGTAGGGACAGCTCATTTCCACTGTCAGTCATAGGGAAAGGCCATCCACAAGCAGCAGGAGAAAAGTACTGGAGACAGCCGCTGTTTGAACTTCTCAAACTGAGTTCCCATTGTACACATCAGGATGTCTTGAAATGTTTAAGACAACTCTTGGGTGACAGAAAAAATAGGTCAAGATATAACCCTTACATAGAATACGTGCTGAAGATGAGTGAGCATATTTTCTAAAGAAGTTCATCTACTTAGATGGCACTGACTGCATTTATTTACATTTTGTTTGGCACTAATGTTCAGTAAAGTGTTATCTATTGTTCTCAATCTGGCTATGCCCTGTCAGAGAGAACTGGAATACTTGCCTGTGTTCACAATTAGGCCAGACTGACAAAGGGCAGTATGGTGTGGCTGCCTTATTTTTTATTTATTCATCTACATTTATTAATTTAAGACAGCATCTCGTTCTGTCACCCAGGCTGGAGTGTAGTGGTGTGATCATAGCTCACTGCAGCTTCAGACTCCTGGGCTCAAGCAATCCACCCACCTCAGACTCTGTAGTAGCTGGGAATACAGGCACATGACTGCTTTAACTGCACAGAGATGTCCACTGCACACTTGCAAGACCCAGTAACTAGTCGGCTGCAATTGTTGATTTTTCAATTAATTGCCACAATTTTACTATTAAAGAAAATATGTCTTCCTTAAAAGGGATACAATTTGAATTAAGTCTGGATGGTATATTTTTTCTTGATTAGATTTTTGTGAATCTGATTACAACGATAGCTCTCAATAAAATATTCTCAAAAACACAAATTTTGCATGCAATTTCATGATATTCATAGATCTATAAACCTACTCATGAATAACAAGTAGAAACACTGCCCTGGAAGGAACTCTGCCATGGGGTGAAAGAGGAACCAGAAGCAGCTGTTGCAAAATACAAATGCAAAGGTCTCAAAAAATTAAAAAAAAACATTAAAAGTATGTTTGGTGAACCAGGGGCTTTGTGCTAGAGAAATGGAGGTGAACCTGGCAGTTCCTCTGGCAGAGTTCCTCTGGCAGTGTCACTCATGTCTCAGGCTGTCTCTCTAAAAGGGTGTCTGACAGAGGATGATAGCAATACTAATGGCTTCATCTCTGTCATATTCAACATGTAAAGAAAACACGGTGGGACTTGAATAAAATAAGTTTCAAAATCTATAACCTCTACACAATTAATGTAAAATGAAACCGAACGTGTAAAGGGAGAGAAAGCGAGATTCTGTTTCTCAGCTTTAATCTAAATGAAGAAAATGGCAAATATCTAAAAATATACTTAATGTGGCCCATAAAATGATGAACTTGGGAAAAGCAAAGTTGATAATATAAGACTTTTGAATCAAGGAAACTGAAATAGCGAGGGATATAAGCAGCCACCCCAACTTTCTTTCCAGAATAATTTGTTAAAATATAAACTACACAGTCTGACTCCAAAATTGCCTGGGGGAACAGTTATGGATTTACAGAGAAAAGTTAAGCAATGTGCTCAGGGCCTTCCAGCCCATTCATTCCCAAGAGCCTGTGGAGAGGACTCAACAGCAGCTTGAGGTTTCTTGGCTTATTTTCTCCAGAAAGCACAGCATCAGCGCTCAGCCACGTGCATCCGCTGAAATATACTGCACCCCTTCCTTCTCCCTCATCAGAGCCTCTCGCTGCCAAAGACCTGCTTTGTGAAAGCATGTGGCCTGTCCACCTGAATTTCTGAATTGTTTGAGGTTTCTCTAATCACTTCAATGCAAGTTCTATCCTCCTCTCAAGATTGGGCAGGGACTCTGAGAGGCTACTGGAGCTGGTAGCAAGAGAAAAGCCTCAAAGGTGTTCCACACCAAAGCAATGATTGACAAGTGAATGATTATGGACATGCCAGGGCACTGGGCTTTACGAAAAGTATCAATTTTCACCAAGGAAAGGAAAGCTGCTTTGGGTCATAGTGCAAACGTGTATGATTGTGGCCAGAATTTAATGGGCAGCATATGGAGTCACAGCAAATGGAATGTCTCAGCTGCACATTTGCAATCCTCACCACACTACTGCAGCCAAATTGTCTGACTCATGCAGAGGCTGGTGGGAAGCAAACAGGTATTGTGGCTTCCGGAGAAACATCCCAGCTAGCTGCAGCAGCAGCTGTACAGCTGGGTGAGAAATGAGAATCTATACCAGAAAATAATAGGAGTAGGGTGCAGGCTGTATGCCAGAAATGAGATTGCAGCAAAAGGTGGTAGAGGATGGACTCAAGCCTGGAAACTACTAATTGGAACAGAAAGAGCAAAGGATTGGAACAAAAGAGGAGCCAGAGCCAAATTCAAAACCTGGGATCAGCCTTCCGTATAATTTAAATATAGTTTACAGGAGTCTTGAAAGTCATTTGCAATTTTTCTCTTGACATATAATCCCGGCCTCATTCTCTGCCTTTCAGTTATTCCCTTTTCTCCCGCTGTGTTAGTTACATTCAGCATATTCATTATACGTTCATGATTTTTCATGTGATAATAATTTTCCATGTTAGAAATTACCTTCCCTATTTCCTAGAACTGACAAAATTCCCTCAATGCTTTATAGTCCAGTTCAAATATTTATGCTTCTCTTGAGACTTTCTGCCTCTTCCAGTGAAAATTCATTGATGTGTCTTGTGTTCCCAAGAGTTTTTTCAATGCCTCTCTGAATAATTATATTGCACACTATCATAAATAATTGAAGCATGAGATGGAAGCTTGTATGCATGCATGTGCGCACATGCGTGTGTGTGAGTGAGGGGGTTCATGTGTGTGTACCTGAGTGGGTATGTGTGGATGAGTGTGCATGTGCATGTATGTGTATCTGACTGCCTTGTCTCTTCTAGAAGGTAAACTTTCTCAAGATAATTCCTGTGTTTTATTTATCTCTGTTTCCCTAAACATTTCCATAGTGTATTTCACATAACAAATGTTCAACTCACGTTTATTCAATAAATAGATAAGTTATATTAGACATTTTAGGCTGTAGAAATAGAATTTTAAAAACGTTTGCATCCATACATGAAAATGACAATCCAATCTGTAGCCTGCTAATTTGAAAGCAAACCTTGATTGCTTTCAAATTTTTTATTTTTTTTACAAGCAACTCCTTGAGTCAATTTCAGTTACCTGAACTTCCCCTGCCAAAGCCCATGTACTCATGTACTTTCAGGCTTTCAAATATCCAGCAACACCTATCTGTCATGACGAAGCCAGGAATAGAAAAAAAAAATCCTCCCAACTCTATTACACAAAATTGTCATTCAATAATGACATAAATAATATAAAATCGTTCATATAAATAATACAAGACCAGAAAGTAATAAGTTGGAAACAGAAAAAAATAAAATAACTAATAAATGAGTAAACATTAAAGCTCTTTCTTTGGAAAAATCAACAAGAAAAACCTTTATTATACATTAAAAAATAATAAGTGTGATGAATGGAGAATGTGCAGTATAAGAAGTAAGAATATCAAGCATTAAATAATTAAGCAAAGAGAGAAATTATACATAAACATATTTACTCCAAAATGCAACTCCATAATTATTTACTTTACTTATTATTGAACTAAATATATTGGTAGTATGAAGTATAAAAAATCCAATTTCCATGGAAAAAATAGTGAGAAATTTTAATTATTTGTCCCTTAAATTTTTTTTTTTTTTGGTTTGTTTCCACCTAGGTTTTAAAGGGAATATAATCATACTACTAAGAAAACTGTTCAAAAAAATAAAAACATTTTAAATCGTTTGTTGATGTGAGCATATTGATATGAAAACTTGTAGCCATTGCTTAAAAATGAAACTCAATTCTCATTTTTAACTATCAATGTAAAAATGGTAAATAAAATATCATCAAACAAAATCTAATAATGTATGTACCACATTATAACCAAGTAGGATTTATTCCAGAAATTCAACCCAAATATATCAAGCAGATTTTGTGAACACAATTCTTAGAAGAAATAAAAATAGCCTTGCATTTGTTAGATTTGAGCTTGGACGTGTGCACAATTGGAAAGACTGTCAGTACCACCCTAAGGGCAGGAAAAAAGATGGAAAACTGCAAAGTAACCAAGTTTTTGAGCCCATTGGAAAATTAAGGTAGAAAGATAAACCACTAACTCTAAATCTGGAACGAGACTGGCAGCTGCAGAGAATGAAAACTTGAGCAACTGCCTATGGGGATAGATGCCTCAGTGTGGTGTTAGCCAGCAAGAAGGCTCAGCTAGAAATATTCAATGACTTGCCATAGGTTTAGAGAGCTAGTATGAGAATGGAAGCTTCTAGGGGCTACAAACGTATTATGGTTTGCAACTTCTTGCAGACTTTTCCCCCAGGAGTCCCACAAGCTGTTCCCAGGAAAGAATAAATGGAGAGAAAACACTCCCATCATGGCACTGCAGGGAGAGCACCAGCCACCGCTGAGTTAGTTCTCCTTCCTGCAGTGTGGGTTGGCCTGGTGATTCACTTCTAGTACATAGAGTATGAATCAGTAAAGTAGCAGCTTTGTGCTACAGAAACCTGGCAGACACCACCCTAACCAAATGTTCATTATTAACATCCCTAATAATGTCATGTTGATATCATGTACCCCATGATAAGAAAAGCACTTTCCCTTTGTCACCTTTTTGCCTAAAATACATAAGCCCAGTCTAACCATAAGACAACACCAGAAACAAACCCAAATCAAGGAATATTCTACAAAATACTTGCCCAGTACATTTCAGAAGCGTCAAACAAGGAAAAACAATGAAAAGCTAAAACATCTCCATTTGGCAAAAACTAAAGAAACAGGAAGATTAAATGCAATATGGTATCTTGGAAAGGATCCTGAAACAGAGAAAATAACTTAAAGGAAAATACAGCAAAATCCAAATAATGTTTGTCTTTTAGTTAATAGTATTATATCAATACTAATACCTTTGATAAATTAACCACGATTATTTAAAATAACATTAAAGGAAGCTGGATACAAAGTGTAATTGAATTCTCTTTACTCTCCTTACCACTACTTTGTGAGTCTAAGATAATTTTTAAAACTAAAAGTGAACATGATTGCCTTGACAATATGGAATAATTCTCAAACTCAGTTATTGTGGAAGAGATACAAGTTAAAATTACACTGAAATAACAATCATCATCAACTGGCAAAAATAAAAACCTGATAGCAGGTAATATGTACTTAGGTTGTGTAGAAACTGGCACTATCATATATTTCTGGTAAGAATGTGAAATTGTACATTCTTTATGGAAAATACATTGGTGATATCTGGAAAAATGGCATATATATTTACCTCTTATAACTCTTACTTCTAGACATTTATAACAATGCATACTGAACAAAAGTAATAGTTTCTGTTATAACTTTATTTGTAATAGCAAAAATTGGAAGCACATCAAGTGTCCATGAAAATAAAATTGATTGTGTAAATAGAACCATGCAATGGTATATTATGCATCTATTAAAAAGGTTGAGAAGAATCTGATATGAACTCTTGGACACTAGAGCACTGAATTTTATTCAATTAAAGAGGGTAAGAACTCTATAAAGGATACTATATTTTGTAACTGTAGATGAAAGAGGATGGGGGATAGGATGGTAGAATGGAAAGAGAGTATAGACTTCCAATAGAAAATCTGGGGTCAAATGAATAAATATTACTTTATTAGCTTATAATAAGCTAATAAACTTAATTACTTCCAAATATGGAAAGGAAACCATTTATTAGTAATTTTATTTATTACTTTATTAGTGCTTATAATAAATAATAAATAAAATATTTTTATATATTATATATAATATTTATATAATTATACATGGACTATATCAAATAATATAATTTATAATATAATAAAGTAATAAATAGAATTTAGAAAGAGGAAAATAGAAGGCACAGAGATGAAGGGGAGACTTCTCTAAAATATTTTGTTAAATAATGTTGACTTGAAAATCCTTTAATTTTTTTACACATATAAAAAATAAAATTTAAGAAGAAATGACATATGTTATTAAATATTAGAAGAATGCTGAAACTAATCTAAATATATATTTTTGTGATAACACAATCATGAAGATAAATTAAATTTCAGGAAACAACATTTTGATTATATATCTTTGGTGGAATATAAGCTATGGGTACAAAGAAATCCTAAGCTTTAATTAATAAGCTTACAATAATATTAGTTTTCTTATTCTAAAACCACTTTATTTATATGGTAGAAAAATGCAGATAATTAATATGCTATTCTTGTCAGGAACCAATATTTTCGGTGTAAGAGAAAAAAGAAAGCAGCACAAAACAATGAAATTAAGTAAAACCTATATATGTAAACTTTTCATTAAAAATACTAATATGGACCTATGTTTTATTTTATAATACACATTTTTCTAGCTATGTCTGATGAAGTATAGTGACCATGACAACCCAATGGCAAAAATCATAACTAGTGACAAGTTCACGGCCTCTAAATAGCATTTCCTCAATCAAGAGCACAGACAGAATACTTTGGATAAATGATTAATTCTATATCTGGAGCAGAAAATATATGAGATCAACTGTGGTTACCTTACTATTCAAGAAAGGTAGAAGGCTATCAAAGATGAATAAGGTCACGAAAAAACAACACAGGATTCAACATAAGGGTCCCATTAGAATGGAAATTTTGTGCATAAAAATATTAATAATGATGAATGCCCTTGTGAAAGGTTAAATGCATGAATAACCTATGAGGAGTTTAGCATGGCATTAAAGAAGAAAAAGAAAAAAAGAAAGGAAGAGAGAGAAGGAGAAGGGAAGGAAGGAAGGAAAGAAGGAAAGAAGGAAGGAAGGGAGGGAGGGAGAGACGGAGGGAGGGAGGGAAGGAGGGAGGAAGGAAGGGAGGAAGGAAGGAAGGAAGGAAGGACACTATGTTGGTTTTAAAATGTGTCCACAGTACTTTCCTCTCTTTAAGAGGTGAGGCCTAATTTCTCTTCCCTTGAGTGTTGACTAGGCTCAGTGACTCACTCGAAATGAAAAATTTAGAGCAGAAGTGGCGGTGTATGACTTTGGAGACTAGTCATGGAAGGTACAGGTGCTTCCTCCTTGCTCACTTTCTCTTTGGGATTCTTCACTCTGGGAGAAGGAAGCCATTATCTGATGAGCAGCCCTGCAAACAGCCTCCTGTGGCAAGGACCCAAGGCCTCCTGCCAACAGCCAGCAAGGAGCAGAGGCCTTCAGGCAATAGCCATGAGCTTTCTTGAAAGAAGTTTCTCCACTCCCAACCAAATCAACTGATTATGCCAGGCCTGGCCCACAGCTTGGCTGTAACCTCATGAGAGCTCCTGAGCCAAAACCTTCAGTGAAGCTGCTCCCAGCTACCTAACACTCAGAAATTGTATGACATAATAAATGTTTATTGTTTTAAGCTGCCATGTTTAGAGATAATTTGCTATACAGAAATAGATAATAAATGGAGATACAGTTGGAAGCAACTAAGGCACGGAGTCCTCACTCATAAAACTAGTCTCAATAGGAATGATTGAGGCTTTGTTTTACAGTTCAAGTATGAACTATATTTCTGGATAATCAAAGACCAAATTGATAAGGAAAAGTTTCTTTTTACAGAAGCATTTCAATTAACAAATATGGAAAGAAGGAAACCATTAGAAAATCACATTTTGCAAGCCCTAGGGTAAATGATTGATTTAGGCAACTATCAGTAACAAGTGCCAACGTTAGATTAGATGAGAAAATTTTCAATGGAGGCACTATTGCTGTCACCAAATGAGCCTACTGATTAGTTTCAGCATAACAACTACATTGATGTGTGGCCTGTATTTTCTTCTTGTTCTAACCAACCAACCAACAGAAAAAGCCATTATTTGACAAAATCAGTGAAATAGGAATATAGTATGCGATAATACCGAGGAATTACTAATAATATTATAAGGTATGAACATGACATTGTGTTTACACAAGAAATGCCCATATTTTTATAGATGCAGATTAAGTATGTATGCATGAAATGATATGATATCTTGAATGTCTTTTAAAGTAAAGAAGCAAAGAGATAAATCTAATCTATATTGAGACACACACGGGTAGGCATACCTGTTGTTAAAATTATGTATAAAATTTAATACAGAATTATCACCAAATTCAAGAGAGTTTTTACCACTCATACAGGGGTCTATGGAACTATGAACACAAAGTAGTATCTCAGGGCTTCTGGAGCACTGGTCTGTTTCTTAGAGTATTAGTCTGTCCTCAGGCTAATAAAGACATACCCAAGATGGGTAATTGAGTAAGGAAAGAGGTTTAATTGACTCACAGTTCCACATGGCTGGGGAGGCCTCACAATCATGGTGGAAGGCAAATGAAGAGCAAAGGGACATCTTGCATGACAGCAGGCAAGAGAGCTGCGTAGAGGAACTCCCATTTATAAACCACCAGATTTGGAGAGACTTCACTGTCACAAGAACAGCACAAGAAAGACCTGTCCCCATGATTCAATTACCTCCCACTGGGTCCCTCCCATGACACATAGGAATTATGGGGGCTACAATTCAATATGACATTTGAGTGGGGACATGGCCAAACCATATCAGTTAGCCTGCATTATCTGGCCATTTAATATATATTTGTTTGTTATATGCTACTTAGAGGTTTTACATACAATCTTCTATGTGGGCTCTAGTTTATAATAAAACTAAAAATGAAAACCTGTATTTGGTTATGAAACATAATTTGGACTGATGGTAAGATGTTAGTAAGAATTAAACTTTTCTTAGCAAGGAGTGAATCTATACTCTCCACATTTGAAAAATGAAGAAATAGGTTATTTAGGATTTGAATTTCCAATTGTAATATTAAGAACATACAAAACCAAAAATATAAATAGTTCACTTTGGGAGGCTGAGGCGGGCGGATCATGAGGTCAGGAGATCAAGACCATCCTGGCTTACACAGTGAAACCCCATCTCTACTAAAAAAACACACAAAAAATTAGCTGGGCGTGGTGACGGGCACCTGTAATCCCAGCTACTCGGGAGGCTGAGGCAGGAGAATGGCGTGAACCCAGGAGGCGGAGCTTGCAGCGAGCCGAGATCGAGCCACCGTACTCCAGCCTGGGCGACAGAGCTAGACTCCGTCTCAAAAAAATATATATATAAATAGTTTAAAATATTTACTTCTGACTAGTGAATCTAGGAGAGAATGAGACTTTTTATTTACCACTTTCCTGTAATGTTGTAATTTTTTTTTGTCCTGTATGTAATTTTTCTTTTTATAAATAAACAAAAACACTCACAAGGTAAAGATAGGAAGAGACTCCAGAGGATCTGTCGTGGCAAGCCAGTGAAGCTTTACGATTGTAGCACCAGCCCACATGTGGTGTCTACCTGGGTTATAGATAACATTACCAGGATCATCCTCTCCACCTGAGACTTCGTCCATTTCCTTGTTCTTGCCACAATCCTGATTTTTCTGTGCGCTGATATTTGCCATCAGCTTTCCCTTAGTTTTTGTTGTTGTTGTTGTTGTTTGTTTGTTTGTTTTTGAGACTGAGTCTTGCTCTGTCACCCAGGCTGGAGTGTAATGGCGTGATCTTGGCTCACTGCAACCTCTGCTTCCCGTGTTCAACCAATTCTCCTGCCTCAGCCTCCTAAGTAGCTGGGATTACAGGTACATGCCACCACGCACAGCTAAATTTTGTATTTTTAGTAGAGATGGGGTTTCATCATGTTGGCCAGGCTGGTCTTGAACTCCTGACCTCAAGTGATCTGCCCACCTCGGCCTCCCAAAGTGCTGGGATTACAGGCGTGAGCCACCGCGCCCAGCCTCACTTAGTTTTTATAGTAACTGCTTGGCTTGAATTTTTTCCAAATATTAGCTTTCACATAGTTTTTTCATGGGTTAGACTTTTCCTTGGTTCTCCTGCTTTCCAGGATGCCTGGGCTCCAGTCAAGAACTCACTTCTAGGCATTACTGCACCAAAGAACATCTTATTTGGGGCAAAGTGTTTGGCTTCCAGAGTCCTACTAGAACACAGCAGCTGAGAATAACAAAAATAAATAAACAAAAATAAATCAACACAAACTTCCTGGGCCACACAGGCTTTTCTGCTTGGCTATTTTATGTTTCTTAGTAATCAGTTAAAGAATGAATTAATCTATAGGTAAGAAATAAATAAGCAAACACAAACTTATGTTGTATTATGGAAGCTTATTTAAGAAAGACATGGTTACTTCAATTGAAGCCCCCATCTCTAGGGAAAATTGATAGCTGTTTATTTCATTATTGTCACAAAACTTAATAGGTCACTGGTTTTTGAGATCATTACATTACACAGCACTGATACAATGAAATATCTTTTATCTGGAGAATGCAAGTCTTTTTAATTATTAGGCCCAGAGAAGCATTAAAATGAGACAGTAATCTTACTTTCCCCTTGAGCAATATATTCTTCTCTTGAAACCGCTTGCTATTATTGTCACAAATAGCTATAAATTAACTTAATACTGCCACACTGGACACTATAATCCCCACCCTGTGGCTTAACAATGTAGAACCAATCCGTAATCGGGGTTATTTCTGTAAATCAATGAGAATTCCTGGCAAATAGCTTTGTATCAGCCCATTATTCATCCCCCTTTTTTGCTTTTAAAAAACCAACTTGTAACTGCTGCTAGTCAGAGTGTGTATTCAGGGCAACTTGAACCTATGCTCCCGATTGCAATCTTTACACTTGGCCCAAATAAACTCTCTAGTTATATTAATTTTGCCTCAGCTTCTTCCTTTTAGGTCGACAGAACCTTAGTATAAAATTACGTCTTCCTGATTTATCCAAGAAATAGTGTTGAGGAATTGTTAACTATTTAGGAAAAATATTTATATAACATTGAAATGTTCATTTTATGTTAAAAATTACTGAAATAATAATACCTAAAGTGAAAGTTCCCCATGCTTAAAGAAAAGCACAGCTGTAGTTTAAAAATTAGTATTTACTTATATATTTTTTGAGACGGCATCTCACCATGTTGCCCAGCCTGGTCTAGAACTCCTGAGTTCAAGCTATTCTCCTGCCTCAGCCTAGTGAGTAGCTGGGATTACAGATATGAGCCACCATGCCTGGCTCAAACTGATATGGGAATGGGGCAGGGAAGTGCTGGGTAGAAAAAGGTGGGGTCCCTGGTGAGGGCTCTACCCTCAGGCCTGTGCCCATGGACCTAGGTGAGGACAGGCATTCCTATTTTTGCGCCCAAATATTCCATTTTCTAAGACCACCCTTGTCCTCCAAGCCCCCATCCTGTGCATATAATATTCCTGAGACCCTAGTGGGCACAGATAAAAGTGGCTGGATGTCCAGAGGAACACACCGGCAGAAGAACACACCCGCTGCTGGACGTCGAGAGGATCAGAAGAGCACACCGACAGGCACTAGCAAACGCTTACAGGCCATCCATGGTGGGACGACGTGGATCTGGGCCAGGGGCAGTTGGAGGAGAGTCCAGCCACTGGGCGGCTAGACTCCAGGGAAGACCACCTTCCCACCCCATCCGCCTTCTGGCCTCCTCATTCACCTTGTTGAGACGTGCCTCCACTCAATAAAATCTTGCACCCATCCTCCAAGCCCATTTGTGATCCGATTTTTCCGGTGAAACACTAAGGCTAGAACGCAGGATACAGAAAGCCCTCTGTCCTTGCATAAGGTCTGATTGAGCTGATTAACACAAGCTGCCTGTGGACAGCTAAGCTGAAAGAGTGCACTGTAACACACTCCCACTGGGGCTTTGGGAGCTGTAAACACTCAACCCTGGATGTTGCCGTGGGGTCGGTGCTCCCCACGACCCGCCTGTCTGCATGCTCCTCCTAGGGATATGAGCAGCAGGGCACCAAAGAAGCGTGCCACACCCCCATTGCATGCCCTGCAAGGGGGATAAGGGAACTTTTCCCATTTCAACACATTAGTATTTATTAAATCTACTTTGAAATTGTTTTTACAGCATTGTTTTATCCTCCAGAGCAAAAAAAAAAAGGGGGGGTAGGTTAAAGGTTTCGAAAAAAGAGCTAAATTATTATTATTATTCAATCTGGGAAAACTATAGAAACTCTCATTTTTAAATGAGAAAGTGTTCTGTATTTGTAAAACTAAGTGAAGAATAAAGACAAATCTACAGAGACAGAAAGCAGATTAGTGGTGCCTGGGACTGGAGATAGTAATGGGGACTGATGAGAAACAGGCATGAGGAGTGCTTTGAGGGTGATGAAAATAGTTTACTACTGCACTGTGACAACAGTGGAACAACTATGAGAACTTATAGATGTGATTGAATCCTACACTTCTAACAGGTGAATTTTATGGTATGTAGTTATAGCTCAATAAAGCAGCTTAAATTAATTAGCTGTTTAATAAAATGATTCAAGTTTCAGCTCTGACACATAAAGAGCTTAGAAGTCATCATCATCATACTTACAACAAAGAAAAAGCTGGAAAACAGAACATTAATAATCTCTCTTGTGCCTATCCAAAACCCGAGCTTCTAGGGCAAAGTTAAATCCCCAAATCCTTTGAGGCAGGCACATCCAGAGAGGTAGAAGTGTAAAGTGCTTACCTGTATTAGAAGGCAATGAAGACATAAGCTGGAAGAAACACTTAAATAGTGACAAATTTGACTAGTGTCAGAGTGAGACAGTCCAGGAGCCATAGTATTAGGGGAGGGCATGTTTGCATAGGCTTTTCCTCCTGGTACTCTATTTGACTCTCTTGGGGAGGATCCAGAAAATACCTTCTTGTGATTTTGGCAGAGGGAAGGGAGGAGTAGCCATTGGAAGTACACTCAGAGCCTTCTCTATGACCTAGACTGATTTGAATTTTGCTAAAGCTTTGTCTCAGCTGAGAAAAGAAAGTCCTCCCCACCAGGGTTCAGGGATTCCAGGAAATAAATTAGAAATATGCAGCAGGGATGGTAATAGGGATCAGGTAGAGGGAAAGCTGTACCACTGCAGAAACACTTGGGAAGGTTACACTCCAAGATTCAAATCAACTGTAAGACTGAAATCTAATCAGATAATTACAGAATACTCCCTCTCCTACAGACCTTACCACCACATCACACCTTATTATTGTACCAACAAAATCCAATGTAATAAAAATAGATTACATCGGGAACTGAAAGACACAAACCGTATCTGAGAACTGTATAGGTAAGCCCAAAGAGAAGAGGGGAGAAAAACACAAGGATACTGGGAAAGTTTAAAGCCTCTGGTACCTAAAACTACAGGAAACATCAAATACAGCCAACTCTTAGCCAGATTAGCAAAAATCCTGACAGTAAATTCTTATGGGGTTCCTATTGCCCAATACAACATGTCCAACTTTCAACAATACAGTATAAAGCATACCAAAAGACAACTGAAACTAGCATGTTTGAGAAAGTTAGCTATTCTCTCTCTTTTCTGATTTCTCAAATCAGGTAACATCTTAGTTTTGGTTTGGTGGCATGACACTTTAGCATGAGTGACTCCATTTTGGTTTTTTGTCTGGTCTGTTGAGGCATAGTACAGGAGCTTAGTCCAAAACATTACCCTTCTATAAATTTTTTATTTAACAGAGCTCCAATGAGGAAAGTAGACAATATCCAAGAATAGATAGGTAAAGTAAGCAGAGAGATGGATGCTCCAAGAAGGAATTGCAAGGAAATGTTATAAATCAAACATTATAACAGAAATTTAAAAATGGCTTTAATGAACTCACCAGTAGACTCAACACAGCCAAGAAAAGATATAGATGAAATATTTGAAGGAATTATGTCTACTAAATTCCCAGAGTCAATGATAGACAACCACAGATTCAGGAAAGTCTGAGAACATGAAGCAGTATAAATACTACAAATAAAACAAAACAAACAAAATGAACAACATAGGCATATCTTATTCAAACTGCAGAAAGCCAAAGACAATGTGAAAACCTTAAAAGAATACAGAGGAGAGGTTGGGGAAAAGCTCCCATAGAGAAACAAGGAGAAGAATAAAAACAGACTTCTCAGAATCCATGCATTAAAAAAAGATAATGAAGTAAACTTTTAAGGTGTCAAAAGATTGAAAACCACCAACATAACGTTCTATATCCACGATTATTCTACAAGAGTGAAAGAGAAATAAAGATTTTCTCAGACAGGCATAAACTGAAGTAATTCACAGACAATAAATTTGCCCTTTTAGAAATGTTAAGAGAATTTCCTCAGATGTAAGGAAAATGATAGAGGTCAGAAACTAAGAAACACAGAGAAGGCATAAATGAAGGTAAAATAAAATATATTTAGAAGAAACATCTAAAACTATAGCTTAACCTTCCACATTAAGAAAATAAAGGAGAGCAAAGTAATCCAAAAGCAAGCGGAAGAAATAAAATAATAAAAACTACATCAGAAATCAATGAAACCAATAAGTTGGTGCACAGTTCAAGAAAGACAAATATTAAAAACTCAATTGTTTTCCTATATACTGGAGTAAATAATTACAATTTAAAATGAAATAAAACATAAAGCAATTTATAATCATATACATGAAGAAATAGGCATAAATTTAACAAAATATGTTCAGGGGTTCTTTGCATAAAACAAAGATGAAAGAATTCAAAGAAGATGTAAATAAATGGTGAGATATTTCATGTTCATGGATTGGAAAACATAATATTACCAAAATATTGACTCTTCCCAACTTGACTTATATTCTCAATGCAATGTCAATCAAAATACCAGAAAGTTATTCTGTAGATACCGGCAAAATTCTTTTAAATTTATATGGCAAAGCAAAGGACATAGAACATCAAAAATAATAGTGAATAAGAACAACCATATTGATGGATGTACACTACCCATTTGAAGGCTTATTATAAAGCTACCTCAAGACATCATGGTTTTGGAGAAACAATAGACAAATCAATAAATGAAATAGACAAATCGATAAATATAATAGAGATTTCAGAAACAGTGAAAGGCAATTTAGTGAAAAAAGATAATTATTTCAATAATGTTATTGGAGAAATTGAATATTCATATGCAAAAAAAATGAACCTAGACACACACCTTTCATCTTAAAAGAAAAAGGAACTAACTATGGATAATATACCTAAATGTAAATGCAAAATTATATAGAAAACAAAAAAGGAAATTTATGTGACCTAAGATTTGGTAACAAGTTTTTAGATATTACATCAAACCTAATCAATGAGAGAAAAAAAATTGAAAAATTGGATTTAATTGAAATTAAAAACTTTTTTCTGTGGAAAAAAACTATTAAGAAAATAAAAAGACAAGCCACAAACAGAAAATATTTTCAAATATTATATCTGATAAAGTACTTGTATGTAAAATATAAAAATAACTCATAAAACTCAATATTAGCAAAACAAACCATTTTTTTAAATGAGGAGAAAAAAATCCCAGATACATTAGAAAATAAGATAGATGGGAAATAAGCATATAAATAATTTCCCAGCATTATTTGTCAAATAAATTAGAAATTAACACAATAGTAAGCACTACACACCTATTAGAATGACCAAAATCTATAAAACTGACAATACTAATTTCTAGTAAGGATACGCAGCAACAGAAACTTCCATGCATTGCTACTGGGAATAAAAAATGGTGCAGCCAAATGAAAAGATGTGCCTGTTTCTTACAAAGTTAGACATGATCTTACTATACAATCTAGCACTCACTCTCTTAGGTACTTACTCAATGACTTGAAAACATATTCACAAAAAATTGTGCACATAAATGTTAACAGCAGCTGTATTCATAATCAGCTCAAACTAAATAAAACCAAAATGGCTTTTAACATGTGTAAAGATCAAATGAGGTAACCCTAAAATTGAATACTATTCAGTCATAAACAGGAATGAGTTATCAAACCACATGAAGGCATGGATGAATCTTAAAAACCTATTGCTAACTACAAGAAGCCAGTCTGAAAAGGCTACATTCTGTATTATTTCATTGACATAACATGTGGAAAATATAAAATATGGAGTCATGGAGAAGATCAGTGTCTGCTAATTGATAAGAAGTGTTTACAGAGGATGTTTCAGGGTGGTGAAATGATTCAATATTACACTGTAACAGTGGGCACATGACACTATGTATTTATCAAAATCCTTAGAACTTTGTATAAAGAATGAAACATGCATATTTCAAAAACATTCAGTGGATCCAGAAGGTAATGCAGAAGTTGACAGAATAATATAACTGTATTATACATGTATAAAATAACCTCACTGAAGGAGGTTCTGACCTGGGTATCTCTGTAAATGTGTCGAGTCCATAAGATTAAAGGCAAAAAGGAACTGTACATAAGCACTGTAATCTGGTTGACAAGATTATTTCCTACATAGGTATGGGTTAACTATTCAGATACCTCTATCAATATATAAGGGAATTGAATAATTAAGTAAATGGAAGGCAGATGAGTGGGGCCAGGTTTCTCATTGTTGGAGTGAGACTTACAGATCATCCAGAGGAGGCCAGAATGATCCACATGGCAATAGATTCAACTTAGAGACCCCTGAGTGGATTTCCATTATATATTGGAATATTTATAAATGTGGGTTAGTTTCTTCATGAACTGAGAGAGCCTAGAAACAACTACACCGTAATATCAATGCATACAACTAACTTCCAGAACTTGGTGTCTAATACCATTTTTTTCCAATAAAAGACATCAGGGCTCCTTGGGAAAATGGCTGGTTCTAGTATTGGGGCAGGAAATACAAAAGATGATCCTAGAGCATCTTGTAATGCCATGGTATAAGGAAGTGCTCAAAAAATTTCACAATCACAGGAATATAGCACAAAGACACAGGGGAAACTCAAAGAGCTCCTATGACCAAAACTGGAACAATATGAATAATGAAGTAGTTGAGATGGCAGTGGACTATAATACAAAGTGGAAAATAACTATCTATGAATTCATACTAATATAGTCATAGCATACATAAATAATTAAGGGATAATACACAAATTTCCCATGCAGAAGGGTTCTGAATAATTTATGTAGGTTTTCCACCTTAAGAAGTAGAGCTTAACTTCCCACTTTGTAAATGTGGGCTACACTGTAGTGACTTCCTTCCAAAGATTATAGTACAAAAAAAGGCATAAAAGAACAACTTTACAGTGAAGAAATCTGACAAACACTATCTCAGACAGCTGATCAAATTTAACGTCAACTTTGTTAAGTTATATTGATAGCATGTCCCCTTATATGATGTGATGATAATGGCACCTTAATTCTATTGCTTTTTCCACAAACCAGTAACCTGAGTCTAATCACAAGAGAAATATCAGGCAAATCCGTTTAAGAGACTGATGTGGATTGGCTCTGTGTCCCCACCCAAATCTCACCTTGAAATGTAATAATCCCCATGTGTCAAGGGAGGGACCTAGTGGGAGGTAATTGAATTATGGGGACAGATTTTCCCCGTGCTGTTCTCATGACAGTGAATAAATCTCATGAGATCTGATGTTTTTATAAAGGGGAATTCCCCCACACATGCCCTGTTGCCTGCCACCATTTAAGATGTTCCTTTGCTCTTCCTTCGTCTTCTGCCATGATTGTGAGGCCTTCCTAGCCATGTGGAACTGTAAGTGCATTAAGCCTCTTTCCTTTATAAATTACCCAGTCTTGGTTATGTCTTTATTAGGAGCATAACGATGGACTACAGAAACATTTTACAAAACGCTTGAATAGTACTTCTCAAAACTACCATGGTCATCAAAAATAAGAAAACTCTGAGAAATTGTCATAGCCAAGAGGAGCCTAGCAAAATATGAAAAATAAATGTAATGTGATATCCTGGATGAGATCTTGAGACAAAAAAGATATTAAATAAAAACTAAGGAAACCTGAATAAAATATTGGCTTTAGTTAATAATACTAATATTGATCCATTAACTGTGGCCCATGTGCCAAAGGAAGTAAGAGGCTATTAATAAGTGATAGTAGGTTCGGATTTTATGGAAACTCTTGTGTGTGTGCTATTTCCTCAATTTTTCTGCAAACCTAAAACTTGTCTAAAAACGATATTTAAAGATCAGTAAAGAAAATTGCAAAAGAAAATGTTCATAAATTTGACTGAATAATAGTAGAAATACACGTGCATAGACCAAAAAACAAAGGGAATAAAAGCATACATAACTGAAGAAAAATACATTGACAAAATATGCTACCATTTTTTCTTAATCAGCATTGCTTTAAAATTATTATATTATATAGATATCTACATAAACTGAGACAAAGTTTCTGAAAATAAATGTAAAAATATAAATTAAAACTTTAGTTATATTCATACATTTACCTAAGTATTCTACTTTAAAATGTCTGACCAAAAATTCTGACATTCTGTCATTATTTTATTACTATTGATAATAAGGATTACTTTAGGAAATTCCACTAAATTTGTATCATGGAGTACTATACCTATTAAATTGCCTGAAAATAATTCTTTATGACAAAGGGAGATGCTAATTACACAAATGGCTGTGGTAAGAGTGATATATATCAAATGACCCCAAATAAGTATAAACAAAGGACAATGAAATATTTACAGCCTTATTTCAACATGGGTTTTCTTGGGATGTTTGGACTGTGATTGAAGATTGTGTTCTCATTTATAATTTCTTGCTCTGAAACCAATTATCATTTTTTTTGTAATAAGGGGGGAAAGGGTAGTGAATGTAAATATTCTAATCTTGAGTTGAAAGCCCCAGGCCATCCTTTATTAATAATAGATTGTGTCGACAAAATTTTCAGCAGAACCTTTGTCTTAAGATGATTTATTTTTCTCCTGAAAGATCAGATATCCTGCCAGAATACAAAATTTATTGCAAATTCCAATGGTCAACCCAACCAGACCTCTGAAGTAAGTAACAATTTGCCTCTATCATCTCTTCACTCCTCCCTGATCATTGTGTTATCTCTGTTAACTATAGTTTCCCTGCGCCTCCAAGGACCCAGGTGGCTTCCTTCCCAAACCCACAAACTCTAGATAACCCAAGCACACATCTGGGACAAGATTTTACAATAAGTATAGAAAAAACAGTGAAGTCCATTTGGATGAATAATAATATAATGCCATGAAATTGGAAAGATATTCAAGGATTAGAGACAGTGGTGGACTTTGACCTGAGTCTTTAGTGGAAAATACAGTTAGGAAGTTGGTTTGAGAGAAAGTGTGTGTCAAGGGTGAGTCTGCAATATTTTTTAGGATACTCAAGTCTTGGGAATTCATTTCTCAACAATAAATTGTTCAGTGCATACTGCATGCAATACTCTTCTGGGCACTGGAAATTAACTAGTTCAGGTACGTAAGATAGACCAAAACAGAAGAAATATGGTGACAAATACAAGAAATATCTGTAGATGGAATGAGTTTTAAAAAGTCATAGTAAGTACCTTTATAAACTAAAAGTAAGGAACAAGAGAAAAGTAAGTATTGAAAACCAAAGAGAAGGTAGTAACCATTGAAAGGAAATTTCACTAGAGAAGTGTATTAGTCCGGGTGGGTATGGTGACTCATGCCTGTAATCCCAGCACTTTGGGAGGCAGAGGCAGGCAGATCACTTGAGGCCAGGAGTTTGAGACCGGCCTGGCCAACCAACATGGCAAATCCCCATCTCTACTAAAAATACAAAAATTAGCAGGGCATGGTGGCGGTTGCCTGTAATCCTAGCTACTCAGGAGCTGAAGCAGGAGAATCACTTGAACCTGGGAGGCAGAGGTTGCAGTGAGCCAAGATCATGCCACAGCACTCCAGTCTGGGTGACACAGTGAGAACTTGTCTCCAAATAAATAAATAAATAAATAAATAAATAGAACTGTATTAGTCCGTTTTTACATTGCTATACAGAAATACCTGAAGCTGGTTAATTTATAAAGAAAATATGTTGTATTTGATGCATGGTTCTGCAGACTGTACCAAAAGCACAGAGAGCTGGCATCTGCTTTTGGTGAGGGTTTAGGAACCTTATAATCTTGGAAGGAGAAGGGGGATCTGATGCATCATATGGCCAGAGCCAGAGCGGGAGAGAAGGGGTAGGTCTCAGGTTCATACAACCTAACTGTGTGAGAACTCACTTATCACCAAGGGACACTCAGCCATTCATGGGGGATCATTCCCCAACATCCAATACCTCCCACTAGGCCCCACCTCCAAATTTGGAGGTCACATTTCCACAAGAGATTTGGAGGCAACAAACATCCAAACCATATCAAGAAGGATGTGGTCTATGGCAAGCTGCTAGATGTTTAACAATGAGACCAGGCTTTGAAGTTCAGATTTTAATGTGTCATAGTCGATGACTTTAAATATGAAACAATTAGCAGCATGCCTGGCACAGTGGGTGATTGGTGAAGGGTAACACCATGACCTAGATGCCTAGGAGCAATCCTGTGGGGAGCAAAGTTGGTTAGCTATATTTACTCGTTTGATGCATGCTGGTTACTGGTTGTCCCCACTTCCTTTTCCAGAATTAAATAAGCCATGCTTCCAATAATCTATTTGATTAGTGTTGTCTCCTTCATTTTACTCATTTTCCCAGTGTCTATTCCTCCTCAAACATCTTCATCTCCAACTTGGCTATCTCGGCTGCAGGTGTTCTCCTCCTCTTGAGAAATAATCTTCAGGGCCTTGGGACAGGAATGCACTTTGAGAAAGCTGGTGTTCTCTTAATAAACTTCTCTCCTAGCTCAGCTAAGAATTTCTTGTTCCTAATATTGTGTTCCATTTCCAGTGTGAAGATTGATCTCCTCGGCAGGAAAGTCAGAAACCAAATAGGATTTTGAGCAGCTCTGCTTTCCTACAGTCTGTCTGTTAGTGTTGCACTTGTAGTTACACCTGGAAATAAAGACTGTAGCCAGGTATACAGACTCTGATCTGAGGTCAGCCTGCCTGTAAGAAATTGGCAGCACTGCTGCTGAGAAGCTTTGCAACCTTAGGCACATTACGTAAAAATTTTGTGCCTTTGTTTTTACCTAATATAAAACAGGAATGATATTATCATTACTGGCTATCTAGAGTTTAAAAAATCAAGTTTAAAAGCGTCCAGATGTAAGACCATTTATATGTAATCTCAAATATTGTTACATTCTGGTTTCCCCAAATCACTTTCATTTTGTTTACTATGGATTTTGAAAATGTACTAATTGATATACTATCAGTAAGATATTATGTTGCATAGGTGGTCAAGCCATCTTTTATATGTTAAGAATTACCTTGATACCTGCTGAATGATTAGGCAAATTACTTTTATTCATTGTGCCTTCATTTCTTCACCTTATAAATGAAGTTAAGAATTCTGAAAATACTCCTACATATGCCCCATAGTTTTACCAAGACATAAAATACCACATACAAAGTGCTCATCACATTGTCTGCCATATATAAAGCACACAGATATTAGCAAATGTTACCTGCAAAAAAATATTTACTTGAGTGACCCATCCTTAAAATCATTCTTTGGCATCTTCCGATTCTTGGAGTTTTTCCATGTCTTTTTATTTTCCTGAAAGCAAAGGACTGCTGTACAGAAATAAAAATTGACACAACTAGAGATATTGAACTCATAATAGTTGCAAGTTTAATAGAGGGGAAGATATGGGTTTTCATGGAAATTTATAGGCTAATTTTGCCACAAAAGACTTTGAATAAGTATAGAGCTCTTCAATATTCATGAAAATTTTGTTTATATTTATTTCTTTCATTATTATACTATACATTAAATATTATCATTACAACTCAATAATCATTTAAATGGATGCTTTGCAGTTGATAAATATATTTAAGTAATAAGATGCAAAGAAAAGTTATGCAATATATAAAGAAGACATTTAAAATTAACATCATAAAATATAACAAAATAGTAAAAATATTAATAAAAAAACCTTCTATGTCCTGCATTAATATGTCTGTAAAACAGTTGAAGGTGAAGAGAAAAAGGCCATTCCTTTATTTATATTTCCATTGTAGATTTGATGGACATAGAAATTTAGGAACAGTATCCTCATTTAATGTGGCAGGTGTTTTGAATAATCAGAAAAGCATTTAAAGAGATTTTCATATTGAAGCATGTAGAGAAGCATGGATTGAAATGAGGAGACATAAACAACAAGCTGGGGAAATATTTGGCAAATGAGAGCATCTCAGTTCTTTGCGTGGGTTCTGACAATTCTGTTGATGAACTGCTCCTTTGGAGTGTGTAGGCTACTCTCCAGCAAGGAGGTTAGCACTTGGAAGACACATTAATCATTGAAGTTTATTGAAGTAACCTACTCCTTCGCTTAGCAACATCTCTTTCCTGGATATATTGTGCAGAATGGACAAGCTGCCGGACTTATGGCCTTGTGTGTTGACACATTAAATGTGGGATAGATTTAAAGGGAAGCTATTTCACAGCAGGGTAAATGAGGAGAGTGAATGACAATAAGAACACTTTACTGAGATTTATTATATGCTAATTCCCACAATAAAAACATGGCTGATCTTATTTAAATCTTCCATTACTTCTGTGAAATGTGCCCAATTAAAGATGAAGAACTGAGTCTATGAAGACCTTGTAATGGCACCCACCACCTAGCTAGTGAGACGGAGCTTCAGACAAATGCCCATGAACATGTTAATATACTGTATTTTACTATAAGGATTTTACATTTTATGCAAAATGTTTACAAATTATCCTCTGAAAATTCTTTAAATACCTAACCTATCTATCACCATTTTCAAGTATATACATATAACCTATCTATCACTGTAGGTTACTTTATATTTTATACGTATTTAATATTTATGTGTATATACTTGAAAATAGTGATAGGTTACATTCGTAAGTATATACATATTTTTCTGCAACAGAATCCCAGATTTGGGGTCATAAATCACCTTTCCCTTCTTATTCAATGTGATTTGAGTTTAACAGATACACCTATTCTGAGGTTAATGGGTGTGATTCAGCCAGGGAAATGAGAGGACCAGCTTCCTCTGGTCTCAGGGATCATTTAGATATGGGCACGTCTCAATCTTTACCATATGTTAAATAAGGTAAAACATGGAAATGGCACTATATCTGTTGGAATGAAACATGCTCTATTTTCTTCTGCACCCTTTTTTCTGCATTGCTTAAAATTTATTAATCTGTATTTCTGAAACTTTGCACTGTAGTCCATGAGGAACAGAAAGCTGGTGCTGAGATTTTGATTAAAGAGAAACACTAGGTTGTGGAGTAACATTACAGGAACACATTTTCTCATTCAATCACATAATCACTGTGAATATCATCAATAAAAGAGACGGTGACTGAATTTCTCTGTGCTTTTCTGGTCCTCATAGTGAGACTCAAAGCTCGATTCTTTGCACACATTTCCAGCACCATTCTACTGTTAGTGCACAGCAGTCATTGTGGGACCCCCTTAGACCTGTTTCTTCTCTTTGGTCTTCTGTTTCCTGTTCCCCATATGCTCTTTCTTTCAGTGGCACATACACTTCAGTGGCATCCCGATACATGGTGTAAGGTAACTGCATTTTTGGAGAACTTGACAATGTAAACATATCTCTATTCCGCCCCCACTTGACTCATGCCAGCTGGACATATAATTGTAGGTAGGAAATCATCTTTCTTCAGAATTTTGAAGGCATTGCCTTACTGTCTTCTAGCTCTCGTGCTGCTGTTGAGAAGTCTCACCTTTTTCTCCTCTGTGGAAACTTATCAGATATCTTTGTCCCAGGTATCACACAATTTCTTAAAGGCACACCTTCCTTTGGGTCTATTTAGAACTCTATTTTGGACAATTTGTGGAACCTTTCAACCTTCCTATTTATGACCTTAAATTTTGGGGCATTATTTTAAATTGTTTATTGTAACATTTTAAAATTTTGTTTCTTTCTGGAACTTGTATTATTTGAATGCTGATGGTCATTGCTTATCCTTTCATTCTTTACTTTGAAAAAAAATTCTAATTCTTCTTTACCATTTCTGTAGCTTTGTGCTTTGTTTTCTGGAATATTTTATCAATCATATTCCAATCTTCTTTTGATTTTATATTTACTTTATTATTAAAGATGTCTTTAAAAATTGTTCAATAGTTCCTTTTGTTCTTAAGTGTTAACTTTAAAAAATCTTGTTATTAATGATAGTTTCCAAAACTGTCTTCTCTTTGTAGTTTTTTATTTCCTTTATGTCACAATTTTTTTCCACTTCTTTAAACCCCTATCTTCCTAAAAAGAGACTTTGCTAATATATCTGGCAAAACTTGATGTCTTCTACTGAGTTAAGAGTAAGAAACTGAAAAGCTGACATAATGTTCTGAACATATGGACAAGAGGATGGCTTCTATCTCTGAACTTCACATAGTGTGACTGAGGAGGCTCTTCTGTTGGGGAATCTTTGTTTCTCTCAGACAAGGCTGAGTTCGCTAGAGAAGAGTGTTTCAGTCTGTGTGTGGATAGCGAATCTAATTTCCATTGTTTTGGAACTTGAGTGGTAGGAAGGTGCTGGGGGAACAACACTTAGCACACATGTGGACACATGATCCTCTTGGTTTAGCTGTGGTACGTTGGCCTCATCTGCACCTAGGGTGCCAAATAGGGAGACCATCTGTATTATCTTCTTTAGGGAACACTCCAAATGTTTATTGCAGGGGAAAGGACAGTCACCAAGCAGCATGGAAGAGTGAAGGTTTTTTGTGATCTTCTCAAACAGCTTTCACCTATTCCTTCTTATTTTAGGTTCTTGGTGCTTCTATTTTGAGTGCCTTAATGATTCTATGGGGAATATAATGATTGTCAACTAACCTCTGATAGTGGTAGTTCAGAACTGCTAAGCTAGTTAGGACCTGTCTATCTGCCTCCCAGATAAAAGGTGTTATCTCCTCTCCTGCAGTTGCGTCCTCTCCTGTAGTTGTGTCCTCTCCTGTTCTCTCTTCTACTGCTGCTGTAGACACCCCTCAAGATTAACATACTAAAGTCCTAACCCTCAAGATGACTGTATTTGGAGATAGGGTCTTGGGAGGTAATCAAGGATAAAAGAGGTCATAAATTGTGGGACCCTAATCTGATAGGACTCGTAGAGTTTTAAGAAGAGTAAGAGAGACACCAGAGCTTTCTCTCTCTGCCACATGAGGACACAGCAAGATGACAGCCATCTGCAAATCAAGGACAGCCCTTACCAAACACCATCCCTGCAGGCACCTTGATCTTGGACTTTCAGTCTCCAGAGTGTGAAGAAATAAATTTATGTTATTTAAGCCACCCAGTTTATGGTATGTTATTATGGAAGACTAAAAAAACTAATACAGTGGCATTATGACATTTTATAAAAATATCTACTTACTTGTAAAATACATAAACTAATATGTATTTGTAAAATACATAAACTATATATATAAAACTATATATATAGTATTAATATATTACTCTGAATTTCTTCTACCTGTATTTTGCTTTCTTTTCAAGTGAGGTCTACTGTAAATATCTATTATGTGATAGACAGATGTATATTTACTAACTATGGTGAAGGTTTGGGAAGAAATGAGACCAGATGTCTGTATTCAAAGTGATGTATTAATCTAGATCCCATAAATACATGTTATTAAACCTGTGTATGTTGATACATTGTTGGGGTGTGTTTTAAATGTATTTTTAATTGATAATGATGTTTAATTTTATCAGGTGCTTAGATTGCAGTGATTGAATTGAAGCTCTAAAAATGTATTAAGAGATTGAATTTGACTATATTTAAGCAAATGTTGAAAAGAAAGTGGCAGCTAAATTTTACTGAAGAAAATAGCAACTAAATTTTACTGAGTACCTGTTGTGACTGATACCATTAACATATAGATGTGTCATGTCAGCATTCTAACTACCTAAGTGGTATTTAACACATAATAGATGCTCAACAAATATTTCTGAAATTTAGATTGTGATAAATGAATAAGGATAGATGTTACATTCAGATAGACCCAAAGCTGTTCCCTTAATTCTTCCTCCTTACCATGACCTTCCTGGCTGTAATCACAGTTGTTGCCTTTTGATGAACTTCCCAGCTTTTCTCTAGATTTGCTCTGGTTTTGGTGGGGGTATGGTATGGTCAAGTGAAGGCAATTTTTATATCCCCTTGTGTGACTTTTGCTCACACACTTACAAAAATCTAGCCAATATTTGAAAGCTAATATCTAAATACATTTCTTTTTTCTTGATCTTTCTCCTTACTACAAGATGGAAGCTGATTACTTGCAGTTCCAAATAACTCATTTTCTATTAAAAGTCAGATAGTCTAATTGTGTGAACTAGGACAAGTTAGTCAGCATCTCTGAAACTCAAGTTCTTTCTCTGTAAATATGCACGATTAGATATGTCTTACACGACATTCAGATGATTAATGAAAATGACATTTAAGAATATATTTTAAGGATTAGTCACCAAATAGGATCTTTATTAATTATTCTGGAAGTAATGACAGGCATGTTTCTTTTTTTCTTAAACTTTCTGAAAAATATTGTAATTCTATGCAGTGCTCCAATGATAATTCAATGTATTACTGAGTTTCTTCTACCTGTATTTTGCTTTCTCTTCAAGTGAGGTGTCTTGCTCATTGCACTGGGAAACATTTGGGTATCAGGACGAAAAGAAGCAATGGAGTTCATGAAAACTTTGTCATCAAAGGCAATAGCCTCCTGAATGAATTAAGCCTATTGTACCTGGAAGTATCAGGAGGAAAGGGAGTCTTGAATTTCCTCGTGTGTGTGATTGTGTGTGTGTGTTTGTGTGGTGCACACGTGTTTATTGGTGGTGGTAATGTTTTTATAAGACTGAGGAGAGGCAGATTTTCCTCCTTCCGGTGAATTTGGAAGTCTATTTCCTTGACTTACCTCCAGGAAGAGGTAGGTCCTAAGGATACTTAGTGCTCTCTTCACTTCAGAGTCTGTGCATGCCTCTCCGCCTCTTGTTTGCCCCCTTAGCCTTGCACACGCTTCTGTAAGTGACACTTTTCTTCATCCTTCTTCATCTTCTTCATTATAGTAAGGCAAACATGATGGTTTTTGTGGGAGTGTGGTATGGCCAAGTGTTTCTACCCAGTTATGTATTTTTCCTCATTTTCCAAATACTACCTAGTTCATAGGGATTATTATATAACCCTATGAAGTGGAGAGATCTAAAAAGTATTTAAAATTGAATATATAACCAAACTATCAAAATGAGAGGTTAAAATTAGTTTTCAAATGTGTTGAAAAAAAACAAAATTGTGTTTGAATAAATAAATTTGTAATTTCAAATCTATATCCACTCCATACTAGAAGTATTCAAATAGCATAAGAGTATTAATCATTAAACAAACAAAAAGTACATGATTATAATCATTAAACAAACAAAAAGTACATTCATAGTACCTAGTACAATACCTTAGGCATATTATTTGCCAAGTAAATAGTAGCTGTTCTTCTTAGATTTTTATCTTATATAGTAAGTCCTCACTTAACCTCATCAAGAAGTTCTTGGAAATTGTGACTTTAAGTGAAACAATGTAGTGTGCAAGGAAAGCAGCCTTACCATAGGCTAATTGATATAAACAAGAGTTAAGTCCTATGGTAGACAGTACATTGTTTCACTTAAAGTTGCAGTTTCCAGGAACCTATCAACAAAATAAAATGAGGACTTACTATATTGTGATAAGCAATCGTACAAATAATTTACTGTCTGTATTAAGAAAAAAGATAGTGGGCTACATCCACTTACTTAACTGAGAAAGTTACATGGAAGCTGTTCCAGGAGCCAGATACAGGTTGAGGCAGTGGTAAATGTGGACTCTTCCTCACTTTGATTCTGAGGTGATACAGAGCCAGAAAGTCAGGTGGTCAGTTGTATTAGTCTTTACTTGGATGGTTACAGCTTTAATTATCTTTATTATAGATCTTTAATGTTAAATTGAGTCATCTTACAGAGCTATTTAGAATCGTTTTCTTGATATTGCCTCAAGTGTATGTGAATACTGATTCATATATGATGTGGTATATCACGTGCAATAATAATACCATGTGTGCTATGAGGCAGCAGGTAATAAAAGGGATGGTGGGTTTTGCTGGATAAGAGGAAGATGACCACATGATATGCTATGAATAGCAGGACTGAATTTAACTCTGTCTTAGTGTGGGAGAGAGCTGGCTCATCTGTCTAGGCCTCTGTTATCTGTAACAGTGTAATAATACTTTTCACAGAAGCTAACTTCCTGACAAGCTCACTGCCTTTTCTCAGTGAGGGCTTTTGAGTTCTGTATGATTTTCAAAATGAAAACTGTGGGTGAGAAATCCACCACTATTACCTAAGATGCCTATCCACAGTGCACTTAAATAATGCAGTTTTTTAACCATAAGTTATTGAGACACCATATAATATTGTAATAATAATCTTAATTCAGTAAGTGAAAGTGTCTTTCAGCCACAAAATAATTCCTTTCGTTTACAAAGCCTTTTCATGGAGTTGCCTGACAAACTCCAGAGGTTAACTGGCAATCACATCTCCAGTCGACCTCAGGATGTACACACTCCATTCCCTTTGAATGCTGAACTAACCGACTGATTATGGTAGGTCATCTGACCAAGAAGTGCTTGTTAATAAATCACTTTTACATTAAAGACACTGATGAATTCCAAATACTGAAGGAAAAAAAAAGTGTATGTTTTCTTTGTCACGTCTGAGAAAAGATGCACAATGAAACAGCTGTTTAATATTGGATGAGTCACAGTGTATGCAGATGAAGGGTGCTCCTCAACTAGTGGTGCCTGTGAGAAGCAAACTTACCTGTCCAAACCCAAAGAATGGACTTAGAGACCCCGAGAATGGTAAAGGTGAGACTTTCAATGATGGTCTTGCAAGATCAGGTGCCTGAGAGGCAGGCACACCTAGCACAGTTTCAGCAAACAGTTTATCCCCTAATGCGCAGGTCCCTCCCCTGGTTCCTTATAGACTGAGTATATGGAGTTACAATCTTTCTGGACATTGCCTATTGATTGTTGGATAGAGGCTTTAGGTGTTTTTTAGGGTTGTCTTGTTCTTTTTTTTTTTTTTTTTTTTTTGCAACCCACAATGCATTGCAATCCTAGTTAGCTCAAGGCTTCTTTAAGTATTTGACTTATGACCTAAGCAACTGCGCAGGCTGATAAGAACAGGAAAAGTGAATTATTTTTCAGGCTAGTAAACTTCTATCTTTGACTAAACTTCTTTGGTTCAGGTGAAGGCAACTAAGAGGGGGCGGGAAAGGGGAGGCCAACAAGCAAGTATTGGCTGTCCAAGCTGGGGCCTCGTATATCCTGTTTCCTCTGTAGTTGGCTGACCTAAGCCGATTCAAGGCACTTTGTCTTGGAAATGGACCACTGTATGCATTATTTCCTTCAATGCCCAACTAGAAGCAGGAGGAATACACTCTACACTCTTTGCAGACAGCATTCCCACAGCAGTCAGATCAGGCTAGGTGATTTCTGTAGTCTGCAATATTTGCAAGTCTGTGTGATTCTGAAATGGGAGATCTACTTAGACATAATATTGCATTGACTCTGACATATGCATTCTCTAATTAAAAATTAAATTCTATCTATTATATTAAAATACAAATTGAGTTGAAAAATAAAACAACAAAAACAGAGCATATAAGTTTATTTTCTCTACTGGTCTGTGAACACGTCTTCTGAAGTTAGAATGTCTGAACTATCAGCAATTTTTTTAACTTTCTGACCTTCAATTTTATTTTCCCTTATCTGTGAAATAGGGATAATTCTCATATATTCTCCTCAAGGTTTTTGTGAGGATCAAATGTCAGAGTCTTTATCAGCACTTGAAGGCAGTGATGATATATACTAAGGTGAATCATTATTCTCTTCAATAAATTATCAACATCTACAAAACTGATGGTGACATAAATGCAAAAAATGGTTTTGGAGTGATTTTGAAGAGAGAAATAACATAATGCTGGTGAGGTATTAGGTGGGAGAAAGTTAGGAGAGCTGAGAGATTAAAGTAGACTCAGATACACGCACCAAAGATGAGAACTTGAATGATCACGAGCTAACATGGAGTCCAGAATGCGACTGTGAATAAAGAGGATGGGGAAGCCCAGGAAAAAGGAGAGCTGACCGAATGGCTCCAGCTTAATTTAATGAATACATTAGCTTCAGACAATAATGTCCAAGTATAGCCCTGTCTTCTCTTAGGGAATTCAAGGTCAAGTCTCTCAGTAATATCTGTAAGGGAATTGCTTTTACAGATAACCTGATAACACTAGGAAATAGGCTATAGGAACATGATGGATTAATTTTATGAAGCCCTAAGAAAGTTATTCATTTTATGATGAAATTTTCAAATACTTGAGATTTTTAATACATAGTCTATGTGCAAGAAATCATCATAACTTAGCATCATAATAATTATGTGACCAAAAAGTGAAAAACATGTTTGTCATCTAGGTAGGAAGGATATTTACTCCAAATATCAGCAGAGCCAACTATTAAGTGCAGATTATGAAGGTATATAATATGGCAAATGTGGGAAGGTAGATGACAGAGGCTTAATCCTTTAAAGGAATACTGGAAAATCCAGGCAAAAAGGTTGGAGTCTACTAGTTTGGCTCATGGAATTAAAAAAAATAATATTAATAATTTTTGACAATTTATAAAACATGTTCACCATCACCGGTTGCCAAAGCACTTTCACAAGCTGGGGAGAAAAATGTTTCCTTTTTATGGTTAATTAAATTATTTGGCAAATTACATGCTCACAACTCAAAACTAGGTCTTTTCAATCCAAATGATTTATCTATGTTATTCTCCACCTCCTGGGATGTTTTAAGTAACCTCCTAAAATATCTCTCTTTCCATTAGCTGTCTCCTTAGTCTATCCTTTCTTTTGTTCCCTGATTAATCTTCACCAATATACACCTCACTCTCATAGTCAAACACATTTATTTTGTTTAAAAAGAAAAAAAAAAGCCCAAACTCAGTAGTTGAGACAAACTTCCAAAAGTAAAAGCATTTATTACTCTCTAGCATGAACTTCATAACATACGTCTCCAATTCAGGGAAAGTAGTCTCCTGATCATCCACTGAACAAAGGAAGACTTTTGAGGTACCGAGACTCCATGATTGCTGTTACCAACCCTCTCAAAATCTGAATGAACCAACGATACCAGCTCAGCCTCATCTCCTCTGTGAAGCTATGTTGGAAATACTGGCTAATTGTTCATTCCTTATACATGAAATCTATTTTCATTGTACTCTTGGGCATGGGCCAGACATGGGGGACATGAAAAAAAGTTTTGTTTTTGTTGTTGTTAAGATTGATGAAAAGCCACTGAAATATTTTAAACAAGGGAGTGGCTTGTTTGGTTATGCTGAATCAAGGGTCACCAAGTTGAGCAGAAGAAAACAATTATTGTCCACACAAGAAATGAACAGCTTGTGAAAGTGAATGCAATTCAATTTACTTCACAAAGCAATAGTACTTTCTTTAAATTTTGTACGCTTATTTCATTCAATAAAGTAATATTCAACTAAATTTTCTTTTTTAAAATAATTGGCATAAGCATGTCAGGGTTAAACCCAATGATTGTTGGTAGTTATAGAAGCCAGTTCATAGAGGCAGATGTTGATGAGTGTGTAAGAGAGTGGGACCAGCTGTAAGAAATTTGGGGTGCAGGAACCCCAGTCAGGATATTGCAGAGGAAAAGTGAATACTGGTCCCTTTGTTGAGTTTGGTTAAGAGGAATGTTTCAAAATTCTTTTTGAGGGGCTAACATGATTGATTTTCTCAAAGACAGATCCGAATTCACCACCTACTCAATGTTAGTGACAGCAATGACAATAACAACAACACTAATAGTTCACATTTTTGAATCCTTACTCCCCTCTTCTAAGTGCTTCATGTAGAGCAATACCTCCTTTAATCCTCACATCAAACCTCAGCATTATTATTAAGTCTATTTTTCAAAGGAAGAGACCAAGGCAGAAAGTGGTTCAGTAACTTGCCCAAAGCTACCCATTTAAGCAGCAGAATCCTTAATTTAGACCTTATACCACTCTGCACTATTTCTTCCTAGTGTGTGTACTGCTATAGGAGTCTTTTATGGAACCTGAACTAGCCTCACTCCTTTGACCCGTTTATAAAACAAACGCAACAAGCAAACATAAAGTTTCAGAGTAGTATTATCCCTGAAGAATGCATAGGAGAATTTTTTGAAGAAATAAATGTCTTTGTTAAAAGCATGTAATATGGAAGAAGGCTAGGAGATCACCATGTCTAACCTTATTTTACAGGTATCTAAATTTCCCAAGCTAAAGTCGTCAGCCCTTGCTTTGCACTCTCCATCCCTCTTACCTCATGCAGAGGCAGGAAAGAGGTCCGCTGGAGGACAAAGTTCCACTACATGGCTTCTGCCTGGCTTTAAATTTTGTTTCCATAACATCCGGTCACCAAAAGCCACAATTAGCCTTTTTGCCTACGTGGCTTCAATTCCACAGCATTTGTAGCCACTTTCCCATTGTATCATCATGTTCTGGGAGACAACTTATACCAGTGTTTACCCTTTGGGAGACAAACTCATTTGCAAATACAGCCTAAGTGTTTGAGTTGTTGATTCCATACCTATATGCTTCTCTTCTATTAAATGTGTTCCATGTGTCTCTTTCTCTCTCTATCTCATACACACACACACACACACACACACACAGACACACACAGACACACAGACACACACAATGGGCCTGCTGTGACTAAACAGTTTACCTAGAGGCTCAGTGCTCTCATCCAGCTGACTTTTATACTTCCTCCTGACTCTCAGTTCCATCTATAAGAATAAACGGAGCACACAGCATACTTTGTGTTAGAGTTTTTCTGCGATTCTTGCCAGGACAGGACCCAGACACAAACGAGATGACAGGAGGGCCTATCATATCTTGGCTGAGAAAGTTCTGTTACTGTACAGTTTTAAAATTTCCTTTGCCATTTTTCAAATAAATATTAAGAGTTGAAAAGGAAATTTCTGTTTGCTTCTGTACCGGACTCTCCCTGGGAAAGAAATGCTGTCAAGTTGTTTTTTACATGCATCACTATCTGAGAAAAACATCAGCAGGTGAAAAGAAGAAAAACTAGCAAAGAGTGTGAACCCTGGGGGTTATACAGAAGAAGATATCAGCAAATTTAGTGTAAGGAAAAAAACAGGAATTAACCAGTGTCTTTCCTTAGGAAGGCAAAGATCTTAGACTGCCTATGGGTACCAACCACTTTTAGATATTTGCATGTTACTTACTGTATGTATAGCATTTACTGTTTGCAAGCTATCTGCACAATCTCTCTGGCATCTTACCAGAAATGTCAAAACTAGAAAGAGCATTTGGCATTAAGCATAATTTGAAAATAAAAACAGTTGTAAGAAGGTTGTGATTTATGGCTATCAAAGATTTGGATTTTTTTAATGAAATCTGAGCCTGTTCTCTGACATGAAGAGGCTTGTCTTGGTGAGTTTTGCCCTTTGACCTCTTTGAACTGTACCTTGCTTGTCTCTCATAGACATCATGGTTGGCTGAAAAATTTAGTGTCTCACATCAAAGTAGATTCATGTTCCTAGAGAGGCTGTTATGTCCTGGGAAAGTGAACTTTCCACTAGACTCCTAACAGTGGGAAAAGAAATGTTAGAAATCATAAAAATTACAGTATCTCTAATCCCTTGATACTTGATAGTTTTATGAAAATAAAGTATTTTGGTTAATGTTACCTTTTAACTCAGAATCAGACATGGCTATTTATTGATTGACTTCCTTGATGTTTCCCTATGAGAGAAGACTTTGCCACTTCTTTTTGGAGCTGTCATCATAGACCCATAGTTGGTCCTCCAGTTTCCAGATTCTCCCTCTGAGACCTGAATTGTATACTGCTGCTATATGGAATCATGCCACTTTCCTGTTAAAAATGCTACATAGCTTCCTATAACTTTTAGATTAAGCCAAACTTAGCTAATCATGACCAAAGAAAACAAGACCAAACAAAGAAGACTTTTGTCATACAAAACCCTCCTTTCTTCAGAATCCCTCTTGTTCCCCTCTCTTAATATGTATGGTCTCTTACTCAACTTATAGACTGTCTCCTGTTTCCATGTTATGCCCATACCCTCTCCTGATAATTCTTTCCTCTTTTACTGCTTGACTCTGTCTCATTGGCCCTTGAGAATTTATTTCACACTTCATGGACTCCAGGAAGTCCACAGTTTGCTTTAGGTGTTCTGTGTTTTCTATGTATTTTGTGTGCCTTCATAGAAACTGTTGAACTGGTGTGGTGGTTAGTTTGCTTTCTGCTTTTCCCTGAGGGAATGTGATATTCTTTATGACAAGAGCATTTCATACTTATCGAATTATCTCCAGCATCAGCATTAGTGCCTGGCATTCAAAGATGCTCAATAAGGTTTATGGAATTAAATTAATTTTCCAAATGTGTAATATTTTCTGTCTTTGGCTCAAAGCATAGAGGGCACAATTAAATCTATTTCCCGAGAGTAAAAAAAAATAAGGGTTTATCTGGATTGACGTTAAGCATACTACAAATTACTAGAGGCAGAGTTGGACAAAGTGAGGTAGCACAGGCTTAAGTTTAAGGAGTAAAAGGGGCAATGAAGCTGTGGAAAATTGTTAAATTTCAACAATAAATGATAACAAAATGTGAATGTGAGTGTTCTTGTTTTATAGCACAAAAATCAGATCACCCAGAAATTCCAGAAGTTTCTCAGTCTGATATTAAAGTGAATATGTATTAAAGTGAGGGAAGTGCAGATACCCCACATAATGAATTGTTCAAATACATTTCGGCAAGTGAAGTATCTTAAACACAATGACCACTTCCTGGGAATGAACTCCTTCTAGGCTGTTCCTAATAGTCGTGGGGATGTTGGTCATTACCAAATTAACTGGGGCAAATTATTAAGTCACTCTGAGAAAAAAAAATTCTCATTTATAAAATTGGGGGATTTGAATTTGATGATTCTTAGGTTCGCAAACAACTCTGAGCTTTGTGGAGTATGCAATTCTAATCATGGAGAGGTGCCTCAGCCATAATCAGGAAGCCAAACCATTCAACCTCCTCTTTAATTCTTAAGTAATGTCAGGCACTGTCATCTGCAATTTACATTTATGACCCAGTATAATCTTCAGATAAACCCCATAAAAAGGTTATTATTTTCCTCATTTTACAAGTAACCGAAGTCCAGAATGTTGAAATGAATTGCAAAATTTTTGTAGCTATTTAGTTTTCAAAACTATTTGACAGCCTCTCTGGATAAAATTTATATTAGGTTCAGAAATATAGCAAAGTTATGTTTTCAAAGAGATTTATTTTCAAAACAATAATACTGTTAATAGTGATAAAAATAACAACCACAATGTTACCTGTGCCGGTGGACAGGTCTTCTCTGGAATCTTGATGCTGGCAGCCACCTGACCTCCCAACATGGATGAGCATTTATCGAGCAAGCCTTGCCTATCCCATCCTGCGCTAGTCACGCATGAGTACCTCTCTGATTTCCTATTCATGACACACTGTCTGTGAGATGTGCTATTTCCATTTGCCAGTTGAAATGTCACTTAACCACTCAGAGTCTCAGATTTCTCATCTATGAAATAAAATAGCTCAATGAGATTCATCTTTAAGATTTCTTGCAGCTATTATATTAAGCTAATAAATTTGCATTTTAATTACAGCCAAACCCTTAGGCTTAAGATTTGTAAATATATTCTGACTTTTGGGTAGGGAATATTCACTCATTTGCTAAACCACATGGAAAAATGGGGTTGCTACTTACCTTTGTAAATTAATAAAATATACTTTTAACAAAGTTACACATCTGCGCTCTTTTCTTGTCAATCCTGGAGTTAGAAACCATATTAAAATTACCCCAACTGAGTTACTAAGCATACAAAGATTAACTATCCCTCATTTTAAATATTAGCTAGCTAATAGCACTAAGATAAGCAAATTAGACAGACATGATAAATGGAATCCGAAAATAAAAGGAACAGCAAACTACCACATAAAATTTTCATTTTACTAAGTATAGGTTTCCTATAGTCTGACTTTAAGTCTTTTATTCTTCATAACTGCCAGCTTTTACACTTGGAGAAACAAGAAACACATTTCACCTAGGAAATGTTTTTTAATGCCGAATACTGATTGGCAGAGCACAGTGAAATGACTCTCATGGCATCTGCATGTTTCTAGTCTGCTTCTACAGGGGCTCCTTAGATTTCTCTCTGAGTATAGATGAAGTTTTCTAATTAATTTCCCTTTCTCCATCATTGCCCCGTCAGAATCTACCATAAATGTTATCCCATGATTAGCATATGTGTCACTTTGTTGATTTACACACACACACATACATACACACACACACACACACACCCCTCCAGTGGATCCCTATGGAGTGCAGAACGAGGTCCATCATCCTGATACAGATGTTCAAGGTCTTCACATTGACCATGGTTAAATTATTATCCCATCTCCAGACCTCTGGTCCTTTTCTGCTTTTTTTCTTATGTACTCAACTCTGTACCAAAGTACTCAATGCTAATGACACATACCAATTGTATTTCCAGTGTTATGTTGCAGCTGGCTTGTGCCAGCTCACAAGAACTGATTACTACAGTTTTCAAATTTTGTGATCCAGCTGTAAACACAATTCATCATTAGAAATTAAATTATATAAACTTGCAATTAAATCAATTTAAAGAAATAGTAATGCGTGCTCAGTAGTCATAACTTTCAAATTATTTTATACCCTTCACTGTTGTCTAAGCTGTTGAGGTATCTGCAATACTATATAATGGTGTACTACCATTCCTCACTGCTCAATGCAATAGTTAGTGAAATCACAATTAAATTGGCATGATGGGGTAATTGCATCATGGAAATTGACCACCAATGCTACAATTCAGTTTTTTCTTCCTTCCAGAGAGACAGCTGCTGAAGTTTCTGTTTGTCTCTTACAGCCACCAGTTAATGAATCAGCATGTATCTGAACTACATTGGCATGCTTTCTGTTAACTTTATGAAAATAGCACAGTAGGAAGTGATATCAACTGTTTATAGATGACAACACAGAATTTCAGTCAAACAACTTTCCCAGCTCTAGAGTAGGAAGTGGGGCCAGGGTGAAAGAGAAGGTTTGTTTCACTTCAAGATCCATAGGCAACAGATGCCAAGAGTGGCAGTGGTGGATTGGAGAAAGGCACTAGGGTTTGTGAGACTGGTTTTAAGCAGGATATTGAACAACGTATTTTACTTTGTATTGTGATTTTTCCTGAGGACAAGATGAAATGTGAGCTGAGTGAGAACACAAAGAACAGGATTTATCAGGGTTGGATTACTATAATCCAGTCATCGTTCCATCTGTCATTGATTAATTTTGTAGAGAAGTGGTTCTCGAACTGTGCGAATCAGTTACTTGCAAAGCTTGTGGAAACACAGATTTACGGGCCCCAGCCCATGAATCTGTAGGGTTCAGTAGGTCTCGGGAGCCTGAGAATTTGCATTTCTCACAAGCCCAGCTGATGTTGATGGGTGGGTCCAGCCACACCTTGAGCATCACTGCTCTCCTGCACATGCATGTGATCTGCCTGACCTGTACAATCATCCTATGTGGGCTGGGATTTGAAGATTTACTAAAATTTTTATATTCATAAATGACAAGAGCTTTGTTTATAAAAGCAGATCATTTATATTTTGAACAACATAATTTGGACCCAAATGTTGTTTCAAACACAGGAAATATGATCTAATTATAAACAAGTTAAATAAGTGGATAAAAATGTAAAGTTCTGGCTTTATATTTTTTTTCTAATGGGCATTTTGTTTCTGTTCTTGTCATAGTGCTCAAAATGTTTCACTGTAGAATGCAGCTCAGGCTCAGAAAATAACAATTAGTTTGTTAACAGTTTTAGGTGACTACCAAAACAAGTCATACCCTCTTAATCTCCAAGATGAAAAGGGCAGCTTGTATCTTGGAAGCATATATTGGTGGAGAGCTGCCCACATTTACAGCTTACACCAAAGTGTGTGGGAGTTTGTCTTTTTATATGAGAAGTGGAGAAGGGAGTATCCCATTCCAGAATCGGGTTTCTTATGATTTAGAACATAGCAGGGGAAGCTAAAAGAAAAGGAGACAGAACAAGAGTTACTAAAAGGTGAATGTGAATGATCAAAAGTCAACTTTAAAATATAGAGTGACAGTTTGCATTCCTAAACTACTCAAAGAGACAACTTTGACCAATAACAGAGGAAATACAGGGCATACAACTCTGTGTTTGTCATTCAGATTTCTCTCTGCTCCAGCCAGCCAGGAGCACACGCACACTCCCTGAGTGGAGGATTGCTGACAAAATCCAAATGACCTCTTCCTAAAACCCCCAAAGAGATATTGAGACCAGAGTAGTTGTTCCAGGGCCAAAGTAGAAAGATCTGGGGTCACATGGAATGGACTGAAAGAAGTGGGAGAGAAGAGAAGCTTTTTTTCCCCATAATTTCCCAGAACATTATATAGTTTTCAGTGTCTCCACACTGAATATTACCAGAAAATATACACTGGTACCTTGAGGAACCCAAAAGCCTGTGCACCATCAGAGGAAACAGTGTCCGGGTGAAAATAACCTACTGCCTTTAGGTGATAACCTGCGAGAAGTTACTGGTATTTATTTAATGAAGCAGTTTTTGAGGCACTTTCATTTCTATACCTAACAAATTTTTGTTTGTGTACATTTTTGGGTTTTTGTGTTTTATTATTTTGGATTTGTTTGTTTTGTTTTCCTTATTTTCTCAAGTTCCAGCCACTGTTGGGTACATGGATAGATGGCAAATATTAAAGCAACAGGGTTCTTTTTTTCTTGGAGTTGGCATTCTATTGGAAGAGATTGATGATTAACCAAGCCACACAATGAAGTATCCCAGACTACAGGAGCTCCTAGAAAGACTAAGTGTTCCATCAAGGGGGGCTTCAGGCAGCTCTGAAGACAGCGAAAGAATCTGTAACAGGCATGACTGAAAGGTAAAGAACAAAAGAAGAAGTTTAAAGCTACCAGATCACAAGCATTCCTATACACCAATAACAGACAAACAGAGAGCCAAATCATGAGTGAACTCCCATTCACAATTGCTACAAAAAAAAAAAATACCTAGGAATACAGCTTAAAAGGGATGTGAAGGACCTCTTCAAGGATAACTACAAACCACTGCTCAAGGAAATAAGAGAGGACACAAACAAATGGAAAAACATTCCATGCTCATGGATTGGAAAAATCAATATTGTGAAAATGGCCATACTGCCCAAAGTAATTTATAGATTCAATGCTATCCCCATCAAGCTACCATTGACTTTCTTCACAGAATTAGAAAAAACTACTTTAAATTTCATATTGAACCAAAGAAGAGCCCACATAGCCAAGACAATCCTATGAAAAAGAACAAATCTGGAGGCATCACGCTACTTGACTTCAAACTATACTAAAATGCTACAGTAAACAAAATAGCAAGGTACTGGTACCAATACAGATATATAGACCCAGTGGAATAGAACAGAGGCCTCAGAAATAATGCCACACATCTACAACCATCTCATCTTTGACAAACCTGACAAAAACAAGCAATAGGGGAAGGATTCCCTATTTAATAAATGGTGTTGGGAAAACTGGCTAGCCATATGCAGAAAACTGAAACTGGACCCCTTCCTTACATTTTATACAAAAATTAACTCAAGATGGATTAAAGACTTAAATGTAAGACCTAAAATCATAAAAACCCTAGAAGAAAACTTAGGCAATACCATTCAGGACATAGGCATGGGCAAAGACTCCATGACTAAAACACCAAAAGCAATGGCAACAAAAGCCAAAATTGACAAATGGGATCTAATTAAGGTAAAGAGCTTCTGCACAGCAAAAGAAACTATCCTCAGAGTGAACAGGCAACCTACAGAATGGGAGAAAATTTTTGTAATCTATCCTTCTGACAAAGGGCTAATATCCAGAATCTACAAAGAACTTAAACAAATTTACAAGGAAAAAAACAAACAACCCCATCAAAGAGTGGGTGAAGGATATGAACAGACACTTATCAAAGAAGACATTTATGCAGCCAACAAACATATGAAAAAAAGCTCATCATCACTTGTCATTAGAGAAATGCAAATCAAATCCACAATGAGATACCACCTCATGCCAGTAAGAATGGTGATCATTAACAAGTCGGAGAACAACAGATGTGGAGAAACAGGAATGCTTTTGTACTGTGGGTGGGAGTGTAAATTAGTCCAACCATTGTGGAAGACAGTGGGGCGATTCCTCAAGGATCTAGAACCAGAAATACCATTTGACCCAGCAATCCCATTACTGGGTACATACCCAAAGGATTATAAATCATTCTACTATGAAGGCACATCCACAAGTATGTTTATTGCGGTACTGTTCACAATAGCAAAGACTTGGAACCAACCCAAATGCACACCAATGATAGACTGGAAAAAGAAAATGTAGCACATATACACCATGGAACACTATGTAGTCATAAAAATGATAAGTTCATGTCCTTTGCAGGGACATAGTTGAAGCTAGAAGCCATCATTCTCAGCAAACTAACACAAGAACAGAAAACCAAACACCACGTGTTCTCACTCACAAGTGGGAGTTGAACAATGAGAACACATGGACACAGGGAGGGGAATATCACACACCAGGTCCTGTCGGGGTGGGGAGCTAGGGGAGGGATATAATTAGGAGAAATATCTAATGTAGATGACAGGTTGATGGCTGCAGCAAACCACCATGGCACGTGTATACCTATGTAACAAACCTGCACGTTCTGCACATGTACCCCAGAACTAAAAGTATTTGAAAAAAAGCTACCAGGAAGGCAAGATATATTACTCAAAATATAACAACATATTCATATTAAGTATCAGTTTATTATGTATTGCCCTTTCTTGGTTTCTGATATTTTGTTTATGAATTTTGCACTCATATTCATAAGTAAGATTGAGCTGCAGTTTTCCTTTGTTGTTGGGTTTCGGTACAAAGGATATGCAGACCTCGTGAAACCAATTGAGAGTTTAGACTTACTCTTTTTCTATTCTTAGAATTGTTTGATCAACTTGGTTATTTCTAATGGAACTAATTGATACAGTTCAACAGAGGACCATTTGTCAACATATCAAATCATATGACACCATACCATTCCACACATCACAACATACTATAACAAACCTCCTCACACCCATCCACACCAGCCACATCATCTCATACCACACCATACCAATCCATATAATACCACATGATACTATAGCACACCACACAAGACCACAACACACCACACCAATCTATATCTTACCATATCATGCCATACCACACCACATAACACAATACCATACTACATACAACACCACACCACGTAACACCACAACACATAGCACCACATCACATAACATCATACCATACCATACCATAGCATAGCATACCACACCAATCCATATTGTACCACATCATACCATACCATACCACATCACATAATACCACGCCATACTATACCATACCATACCATGTTATACCACATCACATAACACTACACACCATCGTACTGTACTATACCATACCATACCACACCATTTCATAGTATACCACATCATACCATACCACACAACACCTCATAACACCACACTACACCACATAACGCCATAATATATCAAACCATGCTATATCATACCACACCAATCCATATCATACCACACTGTACCAAATAACACCATTAATATCATTATACTATACTATACTATACTATACTATACTATACTATACTATACTATACTATAATACCATTATCCTATACCAAATAACACCATATAATACCATTATACCACACTATACCAAATAACACCATACTATACCACATAACACCACATGATACAACACCACAGCATACCATACCACATCACAATGCAACACACAACACCAATACTCACCACATCACACCACTCCACACGGCACACTCTTTATACCGTAGAGTATAATACCACACCATACTATGCAAATGTAACACTCATTAAGTCTAAAGCATCACTTAGTGAATTATCAGCAATTGTGAACTCTATTAATTTAGTGGAGGGTATGGACAAAAAGAAATGTACAGTCAATATTATACTGGTAAAATGTTGAAAACTTCCGATTTGAAATTAAGAATGAAGCTTAGGTGCTGACTATCAATGCTACATCCAATGCCAGTACCATTGTATTTTAGGTACTAGCCATAGCAGCAAGAAAGAAAACTATGCAAGGTTTGTAAAAGGTGAAAATATGATAATTAGATAAAACTCTCATTATTGATAGATGACATATAGCAATTTTAGAATCAATATGTGAATTGAGGAAAGTTGCAAGATACACATTTAACACACAAATTGAACTACATTTATATATTTTGACAATAGTTAGAAATAAATTTAAAATATGCCACTTCTAAAGACAGAAAAATATTAACTAAAGTATATGTAAAGAAAGTTGTGCAAGATATCTATTCAATTTTTGTCAAACTAATTTATAAATTAAAGTCAATCCAGATGAAGATATTAGTAGGTCTCTATTTACAGAAATAGAAAAGCTATTACAAGATTCGCATGCAAATGCAAAGGACCAAGAAAAGCCTAGACAATCTTAGTGAAAAAGAACATGATAGGGGAACTTGCTTTACTAAACATCAAGACTTATTAAGCCACGGTAAAGACACTGTGGTTTTGACTACCTAGTTGGCAAATACTCCACTGGAATACAGTGGAGAACCCAGAAACAGAGCCACATAAGGATTGACACTTGTCCCTGACTAAGATGGCACATCAGAGCAGTGGCAAAGGCTGTTCTCTTCAATACATGATATAGGGTCCACTGGATATCAATGTGGAGAAAAATGAGCTTGACTTCTAGATCATATCACAGAAGACTGTATTTCAGGTGCTTTTGAAATCAATGTAGGAAAAGTAATATCATCAAGTTTAAAGATATAAATTAATATTTACTTGATGTATGTATTTTGTAAACAGGACAGCAAAACATCAACAGTGAAATAAAATATTAATAAATTACACTTTATTAAAATAAAACATTCTTTATCAAGAAACATCACCAAGTAGGTGAAAATGAGAGCAGTCAAGTTATTTCTAACAGATATAAGCAATCACCTCCAAATTATTATACCAACTGATGTCCCCAAGAGCAAGCACTGTTCAGTAGCCATTAACCAGTTAGAAAATCTTTGTGAACTTGGGCTAGAGAAAAATTTCTTACATCTGACACAAAAAGCGTAACAATAAAGACATGATACGTGAATTGTATCAAAATTGAAAACTTTCGCTCTTCAAAAGATGCTACTAAAAAAGAAAAAAAGTAAGCCATAGAAAAGGAGAAAATATTTGCAAAGTATATGTGATAAAAAAAGAACTCTTCTTCACAACTCCATAATAATTCCAGTGAAATATAAACAAAATTTTGAGCAAACACCTTACAAAATAAGATATGTGAAAATTCAATAAGTACATGAACAGAAGCTCCACATTGTGACTCATCAAAGATTCAAATTAAAAACACAGTGAGTTCCGCTGCACACTCAGTAGTATGACTACATTTAAAAGATTAGCAATATCTTGTGTTGGTGAGGACATTATTATGGTGAGGTTAGAAACATTATGCTAGAGAATGAAGCCAAACACAAAAGAAGGCAGGTTGTTTGATTTCTCTTCTATGAAATTTTAGAAAAAGCAAATCTATTCTCTAGTGCCGGAAAACAGAACAATGATTAATTGGAAGTTGGTGGGGTGTGTACTGACTGGGAAAGGGCACAAGGGTAGTTGTTGGAATGATGAAAATATTCTGTATCCTGATTGTAGCAGTGACTCATGTATTTCTTAAAACTTATTGAACTGTAGATACACTTAAAATTAATTATAAACAGATTATATTTATTATATGTAAATAAATGTGCTGAACAAAACAAGAACATATACAAATAATAGGTTTTAAAAGAAGTTTTAAAAGAGAAAGTAGATACAAATAGAAATTCTTATTTTTTTTCCTGTTATCCAGTTGAGTTCCCTGCACAGCCCTCACTTTGAAGACGTAAGTGTTGGATGCTGCGAATGATGGATTAAAACCTCATCTCAGGCCAGCAGCTCCAGAGAATATTGGACTATTCATCATAATAGTTACCTGAGTGGTGACCAGACATCCTGTAGAGCTCATCTTGATAAGTAGTGCTCCCCAAAATAATTTGGATCATAACCCTCTATTTCTTCAGTCTGGAATGAAGCCAACAACTACCACCTGTCTGACATCATGCACCTTAGCTGCTCAGATTTCCTGTTTTACCCTTTCTTCCACCTCCATATTGGGTCATTATATGCTTTGTAGCACATTTGAGTTGTCATAAACTTTATTTGACATTTGACTGCACCAGGTCATACTTTCTGCTCTTTCCCACATGCCCAGGTAGTTATTGTTGTTGCATTAAAAAAAAAAAGAGAGAAAGAAGTTCCAAATTATTACAGTTCACATAGTTATCACAAGGTTATTATTTAAAATATTTATCACAAGGTTATTATTTAAAATATTAATCTGTAGAGTTCTGATGTCTGCTAGCTACAGAATTGAATTAAAGAATACACTTAGGAAAGATTATAGGGACCACCTTATCCACCCAAACTCACCTTAGGCTTTGGCTCTTTCTACTGTTCCTATGGAAACAGATACAACACTAGCAAAGTTGGTGTCAAGTCCTTTAATGTAATTTTTCATCACTAGTTATTTTAAAGTATCAGATTTTATTTTTCCCTGATAGAGATCATTACCTTATGTTGCAAATTAACCAGTGCCCTCACTTTCATAGAAATCACAGTATAGCTCATTTAAATGCAGGATATACGTGAAGCTATTGCTTTAGAACAATACATATTGATTCTCTGGTTTAAATGACATCTGACTCACAGTTCTGACACTGATTCCCACAGGTTGTTAAAAAGATACCCCTGTAGAAACAGAAAGAGACAAAAAATATTCCAGCAATATTGAAAATTAGGACTTAACCTTCAAAGTACCTGAAATGAATTTTTATTAACAACTAGGCCAAAGATTTGACTTCAGAAAAATAATCATTTTTTTCTCATGCCATGTTCTAGAAAAAAAGCAAGTCAGTCTGGCCCTCTTTTATCTTTTCTTATTGCCTTTACCTAGTTCAGAAATGCAAGATGTCCTTTGTTACAAGACTGCTATGGTTTTGTTTTGTTTTGAGGCATCTAGAGCAATCTCTTCCCATTCTTCCAGTTAGGCAGATACTATGGCCCTGGACTAAGTGTCAGAAAGTTACCCTGTGTATTCTAGGTATATACTTATACATTCCTTGTTGTGTGGTTGTGGAATGGGAGAAATGGAGAAGTTCTTGTTCTTCTTTGTAATAAAGGTTTAGAAGGAAGAGTTCCTGTGGCAGCGGTATCTTACCTTAGGGGGCTCGACCCAAGTGGATGAAAAGTGGAATGAAGGACAATTCGCACTGTTGCCATATTCTCTGAAGCTGTGGCCTGAGATTAGGTCTTAGTCCATTCTCAGAGCCCAGCACTTGGATGCTGTAAAGAGAGTATAACTCACCAATCATATTCTTGAGTCAGGTATTGTATCTGACTAAATAGTATGACAAATATCAGTAAATCCCATTTCTTCTGGAAACTTCAGTCATTTTTTCTCTCTGCTGTCAAATGAGAGGTTTGGAGTTAAGCATTTGGAGTTGAGCATTTCTCATTCAGCACCCCCTCTCCCACCCCCCACCCAGCCTTTAACATATAATTATATGCAGGGACAATCAGTGGAGAGTCTCATGCCAGGTGAGCCTCCTCTCCTCTTTTGTGGCAGACCTCAGAAAGCCTCTCACTTGCTTTCCTTGTACACCACCACCACTATACACTCTATCCCTTAGAATATTCACCTGCAAGCCTGGTTACAGAATGTAGCACATCCTCCTCATCTCCCCACCAGAAACTCGAGATGGCACCCACATTCACCCACTGAAAAACATTTAAGATATGGGTAATTTTCCTCATTTTTCTATGTAAATAGAGTGATAAGCTGAATAAAAGGAATGGATCATCTGTAAAGTTTAAGAATTAAATTTCTAAGATATTGACCCTGGTCAATTAATTCATACATGAGTCTTAATTTATAATGGTTGCTCTATTTTAGTTCTGTTCATAGGTAGAAATACAAACCCTGAAGAAAGGACTTCCAGTGACACCCTCCCTGAACCTCTCCATGCAGTTCCTTCTACTCAGCACTCAGCCTTATTGCAGAGACCGACACAATACTTAAGAGTCCTTCAGATACCTACTCATCTCATGAAAGGAATTTGCATTGTGAGGTCTCTATACCTGGGATTCACATCTCTGGTTCAGAAACATCTAAGTTGCTTCTACCAGGTTCTTGTTTCTTTGGTCACATCCACCCAGGGCTCCTCTGATGTCAGCTAGTGGGACTACATTTTGGATAAATTGTTAAGAAGTTATCTGTTTTACACAGTATTTTTTGTTGGTTTCAAAGGAAAATATTCACTGGATTCTTAGATCTGGTACTTGGTGGGAGCACAGACTCCAGAGAAATCCCATACACCTGACCGGGGTGGGGCACAATCACCAAGCAAGTCCTATGACATGACCATTTCTAGTGCTTCTGCTGCTTCTGCTATGGAATCTATCAACGCCTAAAAGGTCACTTTGTGGTAACCACAAGAATTAAAAATAGAGTTGAAAGAGAGGCAGCACTGGCTACCCTGTGGTTAAATAAATGACATTCAAAGAATTTTCTTTTGGCCTTTTCAACTATCCACCTTACCCTGTACCCCAGTAGTAATGAACTTCCAGGGATTAGGTTAAAGAATCCACCCTTTTTAGTTATCAGTGTTCCCTTGACAAAAAGAGATATAAGTAGATATATTTCCCCACTGTGCTTGTCAGATGTTAAAGCCTCTAACTGGAAAAGCGACAAAGGAATGGAAGTCCCTCATAGCCAACTTATGCATGTATATCTCTGGGTTTTAGCTCAGGCCATAAAATGTAGGATCACTAAATGATTTGAATTGCACAAAAGCACCCATAACATCAGTAAAACTGTTATATTTATTACAGATGTTTCAAAAAGCAATGTTTTCAGAGCTAGCTTTTACACAAAAGGGAAAGACAGAGCTTAGAAACACTGGTAAAGTGAATGTATCAGGCTGATGGAACACTTGCAGCCCTCCTCTCACTGACTCCTGGGACTTATAACTCTCCCAACAACAGCAAAAATGATCTGAGCAAGACTTGGGGATTGAAGTCCTCAAATTCAGGAACTTAATATAAGTTACTGAAACCTAGCAATTTACCATTGCTTTTCAAAACTTAATGAGTGACTTCAAATAGTTCTGGGGTGTGTGTGTGTGTGTGTGTGTGTGTGTGTGTGTGTGTGTGTGGTGTGTGTTGGAACAGCTTTATTAAGATTTAATTCAGATATTACAAAACTTACCCACTAAAGGTATACAATTTTTGTTTTTAATATATACACAGAGTATCTGATTATCAGTGCATTCTATTTTTAGATCATATTCATCACCCCTTCCCCCAAAACCAGAATCCTTTAGCAGTCTCTCTTCGTCCTATCTCCAGCCTAGCAAGTACTAACCTACTTTCTGTCTCTACAGATTTGCCTGTTCTGGAAACTTCATATAAATGGACTTATGCAATATATGTATTTTTGTATCTAGTTTCCATCACATAGTGTTTTCAAAGTTTATATTGTAGCATGTATCAGTACTCATTCGTTTCCTGCTATGGATGAATAATATTCCATTGTGTAGATGTGCCACTTTTATTTATCCACTCATCAGTGGATGGACATTTGGGTTGTTTCCACTTCTTTTCTATTATGAATAATGTTACTCTGAAGATTCACTTACAAGTTTTTAGGTGGATGTATTGTTTCATTTCTCTTGAATAAATACTTAGGAGTAGAATTATTGGGTCATATGATAATATTTAGTTCCTTATCTTGAGGAATTGTCAAACTTGTCTAAAATTGTACCAGTATACATTCTTACCAACAGCATTTGAGGGTTTCAATTTCTCTACATCCTCACCAACACTTGTAATAAGTAACCTGGGGTTTTGTTGTTTTATTATTATAGTTAGCCTAGTGGGTATAAAGTGGTATCCCCAGTATAATTTTGATTTGCATTTCCATAACAGCTAATGAAACCAAGTATCTTTTCATGTGCTATTGGATATTTGTATATATGTTATGGAGAAATAACTATTCATATCCTTGCTCATGTTTTAATTGGGTTATTTACAATTAGTTCAATTGCAAAGGTTTTTATATATTCTGGATACATGTGCTGTGTAAATGATAATATGCTGTCCCATTTTGTAGACTGTCTTTTCACTTTATTGATGGTATTATTTGTAACACAACCTTTTTGTTTGTTTGTTTGCTTGCTTGTTTAATGAAGTTCAATTTATCTATTTATCTTGGGTTGCTTGTACTTTTGGTATTACCTCTAAGAAACAATTACTGGATCCAAAGTCAGGAAGATTTACTGCTGTTTTCTTCTCGGAGTTTATTATTTTAGCTAATATATTTAGGTCTTTACCTATTTTAGTTTACTTTTTGTGTATGGTGTGAGGTATGAGTGGAGCTTCATGTTTATATGCTTTTATACGGTTTTCTTAGTGCCATTTGTTGAAGACTATTTTTTCACCATTGAAAGATCTTGACACCGTTATTGATAATCCATTGACCATAAAGGTAAGGGTTTATTTCTAAACTCTTAATTATATTCTATTGATGTATATGTCTATCCTATTCTAGGACTGCTTTTTCTCTGGTACTATTGAGAGATGAAGCCAGCTGGGCTTCTGGGTCAGGTGGGGACTTGGAGAACTTTTCTGTCTAGCCAAAGGATTGTAAACACATCAATCAGTGCTCTGTGTCTAGCTAAAGGTTTGTAAATGCACCAATCAGCACTCTGTAAATTGGACCAATCAGCACTCTGTAAAATGGACCAATCAGCAGGACATGGGCGGGGCCAAATAAGGGAGTCAAAGGTGGCTACCCCAGCCAGTAGCAGCAACCCGCTAGGGTTCCCTTCCATGCTTTGGAAGCTTTGCACTTTCACTCTTTGCAATAAATCTTGTTGCTGCTCACTCTGAGTCCACAGTACCTTCATGAGCTGTAACCCTCACCACAGAGGTCTGCAGCTTCACTCCTGAAGCCAGCCAGACCATGAACCCACTGGGAGCAACAAACAACTCCAGACGCACCAACTTTAAGAGCTGTAACACTCACTGCGAAGGTCTGCGGCTTCACTCCTGAAGTCAGCGAGACCTCGAACCCACCAGGAGGAATGAACAACTCTGGACACATCTGAACATCTGAAGGAACAAACTCTGGACACACCATCTTTAAGAACTGTAAAACTCACCGCGAGGATCTGCAGCTTCATTCTTGAAATCAGCGAGACCAAGAACCCACCAGAAGGAACCAATTCCAGACACACTATGGCTTGGTAGTAAGTTTTGAAATTGAGAAGTGTGCATTCTCTAATATTTTTATATCTTCCAAAAATGCTTTGGTTGAGGTGGCATCAGAAAGATGGCAGAGTAGGAAGCTCTGGGCGCTCCTTTCCCCAACAAACACATTGATCCAGTAACACTTCATGGACATTTTTACCTTTTTGAGAAATCTTGAAACTAATTTACGAGTTTATGCACTCCAAGAGAAGCTAAAACTAAACTGACCAAAACTCGTAGGGAGATTCAGGATACGATTCCCTCTTGCTAGAATCTCTATCCCTGGCACAGCATTGCAAAATCAAGATGACATCCCTTACCTCCCAGCTTCTCTCTGGGGAGGAAAGGGGTTGGTTGCATGTCTAGTGCCCCAATTTTCCAAGGTGGCTCCCCAGAGGACTGGCTTCTTTCTTTTCAGCCTTAAAACTCAGACAAGACCAGCACAGTTTAGCCATATGAAAGAGAGTAGAGATAGAAGTTTGAGCTGATTGATGTTGTAGATCTTCTCACTTGGTCAGCAGAGAGTGCTGCAAATGAAAAATCCCATATCTCAGTTACGTCCTGGGGAGAGAGTTGATCCATGTATCTCATGTCTTAATTTCTCCAGGGCTGTACAGATAATTAGCATTGTCTTCCTGGTCTTAGAACTCTGATGGGTCCAGCAGAGTCTGGCTGCCTGAACGACAATGGAGAAATAGAGATGGAGATTTAGACTGGTAAACACCAAAATCCACCCCTGCCCACCACAAAACCAGCTCAGCACAGATTAAGCCAACAACAACAACAACAACAACAAAAATGTCAACAGCTGCCTGCTTCTCCCTAGAAAAGGAAGGAGTTGTTAGAAACTTAGAGACTCCAGAATCTCTGGTTGAGCTTATTGTTGGGAAACTTCTTCTCTACAAAGTCGGTTTCTGAAAATTGGATGAGCTATCTGCTTTGTCTAATATACAGTCACCAATGAAGAGTTTCAAGACAATGAGGACCCAGGCAATGATGTTTTAAAAAACCAGCAAGATAAATCTCCAAAAGCAAACTCTAATAAAAATGATTTATATGATATATCTAACAGATAACTCAAAATAACTGGCATAAAGAATCTTATTGATATCAAAAAGTGCATAAGCAAAGTGAGACTGCCAACAGAGATAGAACATATTTTAAAGTACCATATAGAAGTCATAGAACTGAAGTACAATAACTTAACTGAAAATTTTCTGAAAGCCATAAGAGAAAAGCAATTTATCACATGAGGAAACATCAATAATACCACTAGTGGATTTTTCTGCAGAAACTTTACAGGTGGTGAGAGAGTAGGATTGCATATTAAAAATGCTAAAAGTAAACAACTATCAACCAAGAATACTATGCCCTACGAAACTATCCTTTAAAGCTGAAGGATAGATTAAGATTTACACAGACAGAGAATAGCTGAGGGAAATCATCATTACCAGACATGGCTTAAAAAACGCTAACGTGAGTTTCTCAAGTTGAAGTGAAAGGACACAAAACAGCAACACAGTAGCCTAAGAAGTATGAAACTCATTAATAAAGGTTAATATATAAGAAATGCAGAATACCATATTATTGTAGTGGTAATGGGTATAAATCATTATTAATTCTAGTATAAATGTTGAAATGTAAAAGTATTAAAAATAACTATAAAATATATTAAAAGAATACATACAAATCATGACAATAGTACCACAAAGTATGGGGAGGAAGTTAAAGTTTAGAGATTTTGTATGTGATTGAACTTAAGTTGTTATCAGCTTTGGGTGTTATAACTATAAGATATTGTATGTAAGCCTAAAGGTAATGATAAAATAATAACTATAGACATCACACAAAATGAAAATAGAAAGAAATCAAAGCACATCAATGCCAAAACTCAAAAATGGGAAAAAGATGGAATGAGAGAGAAAAGCAGACAAAAGAACCATGAGACAAGCAGCAACAACTAACAAAATAGCATTAGTAAATCCTTTTATCTCAATATCACTTTAAATGTGAACTCCCAATAAAAAGATATAGAGTAGCTGAATGGATTAAGACAAACAAAACCACACCATATATTATCTATAAGAAACTCACTTTAGCTTTAAGAACACACATAGGCTGAAAGGCAAGGAAAGGAAAAATATATGTAAATAATAGCAAAAACAGAGTGGGGTAGCTATAATTATATCAGACAAGATAGATTTTAAGTAAAAATAATCAATGAGAACAGAAGGGCATTACATAATAATAAAAAGTCAATTTTCCAGGCAGATATAATAATTGTAAATATATATGTACCTAACATTAGAGTACCTAAAAATGTAAAGCAAAGAGTGGCAGAACTGAAGAAAGAAATAGATGACAATGCAATAATAGACTTCAATAGTAAACTTTCTATAGTAGAATAGTCAAACTTTTATATGGGCTCAAAATTACCCTAATACTACAGCCAAGGGCACCGTAAGGAAAGAAACAGTAGTCTTTGCATTCCTAAGATAAATCTCACTTGGCCCTGGGGTGTAATTTTTAATATGTTGCTGGATTTGGTTTTCTAGTACATCAGTGAGGATTGTTGTGTGTATATTCATAAGGGATAGTGTTTTCCCAGGCTTTTTTTATTTTTATGTTTTTATCTGTTTTGATATCAATGTAATATTGGGCTCATATAATGAGTTTGACAAAGATCCATTCTTTCTATTTTTTGGAAGATTTTGTGAGAAAATGGTGGATTAGTCTGTTTAGGATTCCTTAAAAAAAAATCACAGACTGACTGACTTTACCAGAAGAAATTAATTCTCTCTCAGTTCTGGAATTTAGGAGCATATGATCAAGTTGCTTGCAAATTCATTTTCTCATCAGGGCTCTCTTTCTGACTTGAAGAGTGACTTCTAAATATGTCCTCCAATGGCCTTTTCTCTGTGCTTACGGGGTAAGAGAACTATAGCAGGTTCTCTGTTGTCTCGTTTTATAAGAACCCTAATCCTATCAGATAGGGTTCCATCTTTATGTCTTCATTTAAACTTAATCATTTCATTACCCAAAATACAGCTATACTGGGGGTCAGTGCATTGACCTGTAAAAGCTGGGTGGTTCCATGTATTCAGTCCATAACAATTGCTCTCAGTTCTTCAAGTGTTTTGTAGAGTTCACTAGTAATGCAAAATGTACCTGGGCTATTCTTTGTGAAGTTTAACAATTACTAATTCAATCTCTTAACATTTTTCTAGACGTATTCCTATTTTTCATTTCTTCTTGAGTCACTTTGGGTTCTTTATGTCATTCTATAAATTTGTCTATTTTATCTAAGTTTCTAATTTGTTGGCATTCAGTTATATATAGTAGTCTCTTATTTTTTTCTCTAAGTTGGTAGTGATGACCCTTATTTCATTCCTAATTTTAGTAATTTGAGTCTTACCTGTTCACTTCTTGCTGAGTCTAAAAGTTTATAGATTTCATAGATTTTTTTCAAATAACTTTTGATTTTTTTAATGATTCTATTATTTTTGTCTGCTCTATCTTACTTTTTTGCACTCAAATCTTCATCAGTTCCTTTCTTCTGAATGTATTAGATTTTGTTTGCTTTTTGTTGTTATTGTTGTTGCTTGTTTTGTTTTTTTTTTTGTTGTCGTCGTCGTTGTTGTTGTTGTTTCGAGACAGAGTCTTGCTCTTGTTGCCCAGGCTGGCGTACAATGGCCTGATCTTGGCTCACTGAAACCTCAGCCTTCCAGGTTCAAGTGATTCTCCTGCCTTGGCCTCTTGAGTAGCTGGGATTACAGGCACCTGCCATCACACCTGGCAAATTTCTGTATTTTTAGTATAGACAAGGTTTCACCATGTTGGCCAGGCTGGTCTTGAACTCCTGAACTCTGGTGATCTGCCTGCCTCAGGGTCCCAAAGTGCTAGGATGTCCTAAAGGCTTCTGAAGCTCTAATAATATTTGTTTATTACTTTTCTTCTCTGTTCTTCAGAGTAGATAATTTTAATTGATCTATCTTTAGGTTTACTGATTCTTTCTTCTTTAAGCTCACATGTGTTGTTGCTCTCCCATATAGTAAGTTTTTAATTTTCTGTGTTGTTCTTTTTGAATACAGAATTTCTAGTTGGTTCTTCTGTATAATTTTGATCTATTTCATGACATTTTGAACCTAATGAGACATCATGTGATGTTGTCCTTTAGTTCTCTAGGCATAGTTTCCTTTAGTTCTTTGAACATACTTATAATTGTGGATTTAATATCATTTTCTAGTCAGTCCAAATTTGGGCCCTCTCAGGGACAGTTTTTTAAAAATCTTGTTGCTTTGCAAGTCTCATAAATATAATTTATTGTTCAAAAGCGGACCTTTCAATTTATATAATGTGACAACTCAAATTATATCATACCCCCTCTTTTATAGGCTTTGATGTTGTTGCTGTATTTCTTGTTGTTGTATTGTTGTTTTTTATTTTGCTTTTGTTTGTTGTTAATGTTTTGTTTTTGTTTTTATTTTTCTGGCTGTTGTGTGTTTGTTTAGGCACTTTCCTGTATTAAGTCTATAAAGACTATGTTCTTTGTAATGTGTAGCCACTGAAGTTTCTGCTTAGTTAGCTTGATGGTCAGCTAGTAATTGGCCAGATATTTTCTTGAGCATCTTGAACAAATAAGTTTTCAACCCGAGGGCCTACAATGTTGGTGCATTCTTTACATGTTTAATTTATGACTCTGCCTTAGCCTGCACTTCCTACTTGCACAAGACCCTAAGGTCAGTTAGAGGTGAGAGGTAAGAGCTTTATACAGCCCTCAATAGATACCTCTTTCCCAGGTCTTTCCTACAAATTTTTTATTAGGCCTTTGTTTCCTATCGGTATCACAGGTTAAATAAGTGATCTAAAAACAGTGTTTTCAAGAGCTGTGATATTGATGCTGTGATAATGGGATTTCTGAAGAGCTCTAAGCCTGTCCATGCTAGGAGTAGTAAGACTTCTAGTTTTTCAGGCTTCAGTGACACTGGGAAAGAGAGATGGGAAGAGGTCAACAGAGCCACACACCTCTTTATTTTTATTCTGGTACAGCAAGATTTTTATGAGTAAATGCTCTTCAGATTGTTAGAAGCCTGTGATTAATATCTAGAGTTCCGAAAAAGTTTATTTCAAAACACTTTGAAAGTGTTTTTACTGCTTTTATGTAAGAGCATATTAATATAAGTTCCATGCATCAACATTCTGGAAGTCATTCCCAGTACTAGCTTCTCTTGTTTGTGTAATTTAGTGTGGGAAGAATTAAACTTCCAAGGCCTTGACAGATTCAGAAAAAGTGTCATCATTATTATAATAATTAGGGAAATAATCTAAACCTGCTGGTATTTAATTTCCCTAATATATAATAAAAACTTAATAGCAAATTGAAAGGTTTTTTGTGAGGATTAGATCATTCACTTCAAAAAATATGAAGCATACAAGCGCAGTGTGTCTGAAGTGCATATCATGAGATGAGGAAAGCAGAGATGAAGATATAAAGATAAAAAATGACAAGATTTTAAGGTATTCAGAGGTTTAAAAAGTCACTGAACTTTGTAAAGCAGACATGGAATATGATCACATTTGTGCTAAAAATTATTTGCAGTGTAGAAAGCAAAAGTATCTTTTTGTCAAAAGATATTCTAATGGAGAATATTAAAATTAAAAATTTGGGTTAAGAATTGGCACAGAAGACTATCTTTAGACAAAAGAGGTTCTAGAAATTCAGATGAAAGCAGGAGTAGATACAGTTATCTCAGCTGAACTTCTCCCTAAGGCTCTCCTAGTCCCTAAATTGCACAAAACATCCTTTGACAGAATGAATCTGAATAATTTAATTTTGTATGGTCTCTCAGTTCTGTGTACATATTGGTTGCACCAATATTCAGGAATAATTTTTGTAATTCACTATGCACTTAATAGTCTGATTTAAATAATAAGTAAAATGTAAGGAATGCTGCCTTAGTGTTTGAACTAACTTATTGACAGTGAGGACACTCAAAAGACAATGGCCACCATTTCTGTCTTTTACCATTGAGCTTCCCAAAGAAAATTCCTCCATGTACATCTGTGACTGTTATTACCAGTGGTTTCTATTTTTCCGCATGGACAGTGAGAAAATGTTAGCAGATATAGCCTCTTGCCCCATGCTTAGAAACAAATGGTCTTTAAGTCAGACCCTAACATCCACAGAGTAAAGGGAAAGTGCAATTGTTGAAACTATACCAGAGAATTTGGAAGGGCCTTAACTTATAGTTCTTTATTTTTCACAAGATTATGAAGTCTAGAGTACAAAATCAATACTATAATCTCCAGTTTATATATGAGGACACCAAATAATTCAAGCAAGGTGAGAATGAGTATTAGAGCCTGTATTTGAATAAAGCTTTGTGTGTGTGCCTCCCTTTATAAGGAAAGTGCAGATAGCTCTGACCACAGGGTTCTTTTCAGTAGCTGCTCCAGAAGAAACAAACACAGGGAACATGTAAGATAACTTCCTTGTCTGGAGGGAACTGATACCTACACTCCCATGGGAGGGAACACTGATACCTATGCTCCCATGAAAGGCAACTATTGGCTTACCATCCAGCCTGTCAGCCTCATTACAGAGATATGGTTTAGAGTCTGTATTAGTCTGTTCTCACAATGCTAATAAAGACATACCGGAGACTGGGTAATTTATGAAGAAAAGAGGTTTAATTGACTCACAGTTCCACATGGCTGATGAGGCCTCACAATCATGGCTGAAGGTGAACAGCAATGTCATGTCTTATATGGTGGCAGGCAAGAGAGAGCTTGGGCAGGAGAACTCTTCTGTATAAAAACATCAGATCTGGCGAGACTTATTCACTATCATGAGAACGGCATAAGAAAGACCCACCCCATGATTCAATAACCATCCACCAGGTTCCTCCCACGACAAGTGGGAATTGTGGGAGTTAAAATTCAAGATGAGATTTCTGTAGGTGAGAGGTGACAGCGTGCTGGCAGCCCTCACAGCCCTCGCTGGCTCTCAGCGCCTCCTTGGCCTTGGTGCCCACCTTGGTGGCACTTAAGGAGCCCTTCAGCCCACCGCTGCACTGTGGGGGCCCCTTTCTGGGCTGGCCAAGGCTGGAGCCAGCTCCCTCAGCTTGCGGGAGGTGTAGAGGAAGAGGTGCAGGCGGGAACCAGGGCTGCACGCTGTGCTTGCCGGCCAGCCTGAGTTCTGGGTGGGCATGGGCTCGGCGGGCCCCGCACTCGGAGTGGCCGGCCCTGCCGGCCTCCGGCAGTGAGGGGCTTAGCACCTGGGCCAACAGCTGCTGTGCTCAATTTCTCACTGGGCCTTAGCTGCCTTCCCGAGGGGCAGGGCTCGGGACTGCAGCCCGCCATGCCTGAGCCTCCCTCCACCACACTCCGTGGGCTCCTGTGTGGCCCAAGCCTCCCGAACGAGTGCTGACCCCCGCTCCACTCTGCCTAAGGGCTGAGGAGTGTGGGCCCATGATGTGGGACTGGCAGGCAGCTCCACCTGCAGCTCCAGTGCAGGATCCACTGGGTGAATCCAACTGGGCTTCTGAGTTTGGTGGGGACTTGGAGAACCTTTATGTCTAGCTAGGGGATTGTAAATACACCAATGGGCACTCTGTGTCTAGCTCAAGGTTTGTAAACACACCAATCAGCACCCTGTGTCTGGCTCAGGGTTTGTGAATGCACCAATCGACACTATATCTAGCTACTCTGGTGGGGACTTGAAGAACCTTTGTGTCCACACTCTGTATGTAGCTAATCTAGTGGGGACGTGGGGAACCTTTGTGTCTAGCTCAGGGATTGTAAACGCACCAATCAGCACCCTGTCAAAACAGACCACTCAGCTCTCTGTAAAATGGACCAATCATCAGGATGTGGGTGGGGCCAGATAAGAGAATAAAAGCAGGCTGCCCAAGCCAGCAGAGGCAACCCACTCCGGTCCCTTTCCACACTGTGGAAGCTTTGTTCTTTTGCTCTTTGCAATAAATCTTGCTGCTGCTCACTCTTTGGGTCCACGCTGCCTTTATGAGCTGCAACACTCACCACGAAGGTCTGCAGCTTCACTCCTGAGCCAACAAGACCGCAAACCCACCAGAAGGAAGAAACTCCGAACACCTCCGAACATCAGAAGGAACCAAGTCCGGACATGCCACCTTTAAGAACTGCAGCACTCACCGCGAGGTTCCGCAGCTTCATTCTTGAAGTCAGAAAGACCAACAAGGCCGGGCGCGGTGGCTCACGCCTGTAATCCCAGCACTTTGGGAGGCCGAGGCGGGTGGATCATGAGGTCAGGAGATCGAGACCATCCTGGCTAAAAAGGTGAAACTCCGTCTCTACTAAAAATACAAAAAATTAGCCGGGCGCGGTGGTGGGCGCCTGTAGTCCCAGCTACTGGGGAGGCTGAGGCAGGAGAATGGCGTGAACCCGGGAAGCGGAGCTTGCAGTGAGCCGAGATTGCGCCACTGCAGTCCGCAGTCCGGCCTGGGCGACAGAGCGAGACTCCGTCTCAAAAAAAAAAAAAAAAAGAAAAAAAAAAAGAAAGACCAACAACCCACCAATTCCGGACACGTAGGGACACAGCCAAACCATATCAGAGTCCATCCCTAATGATACATGAATTTGTTTCTGATTCTTAGGATTTGTTCAGAATATTCTTATGCAAGCTCCTCATTCTAACTTTTCCAATAAAATAAGCTGTTTTTTCATGCAAGATCACTTAAGTTATGGACTCTTAACAAAACATGATCAGCAAAGGTTACTTGTGAATCTGTATTTCTGTAGCCAATGAAGGTCAATTTGTGGCCTGGGTCCTCAAACTGAGCAGGTACGAGGTATATGAACTGGAGAGGCCCCAGACTGCATTTCTACATGTTTTACTTTATTCAGAATTAATAGAAAACTAGAGAAACCATTCTTACAGCACTAAGAATATCTCATAAGGCTTAAAAAAGTCCCCAGTGGGTTAACAAAAAATGGAAAAAAAATCATTGAGAAAAAGGAATTAAGTTACCTTAGTATTCAGGCCAAACATGATCCAATGTGCATCTCAAATTTATGGAAAGCAGGTGCCAAAAAGTAAGACAAAACCAAGAAAAAAGCCCTGTGACTGAAAATAAGTTTTATCACAAAAGAAAGAGATCGTGAAATACAAAAGTATTTTTTAAATGTTAGAAGTATGCTTTTGATGGTACAAAAGATAATAAATGAAAGAGAAGTTGGAGGACCCCCAAGAAAATAAAGTTGTTACATTAGAAGCACTCAAATAGAATCAAAGAGTACCCTCAGGTAATATCTGTAAAAGATTTATCTATCAGTGAAGTTTTTAAAGAAGTATAGTCCAGGTAGAATAAAAGAATATTAAATAAACCTTAAGAATACTTGAAAAGTGTAAATTGGCAGACATTATAAAATTTCTGGGAACAACAAAATGAGTTCTTAACTTTAGCAAAAGCAGAACAAATGACCACTTTTTAGGCGTGAATATTCAATGATAATAACAACATTTACCACTCACTGAATGCTTATTTGGCTGTACTAACCAGTTTATAGAATAATAGTAATAATAACAATACTGACAGTGGCACATACAGAGATGAATGAAATTGTGATTTGACCATATATAAGACTAAAGAGTAGATCACTAATAAATGTTGTGAGTCCCTTAGCATAGAACCAACAATCATTAGGATGTAATTTGAGTTCAATTAGTCACCATCACACTAACTCATTTCTCTTTGAACAGAAGACTAGAATAGGAAAAGGAAAATGTACAGGAAAACCTAATCTGCCTAGACATCAGCAAATATTACAGAGAATGTTCATGTGTGATGTCTACATGACAAGGCCATTTAAGGTCAGAAACAGTGATGCATTGATCACTGGACTTTTTCTTTTATTATAGTCTGCAGGGTGATTATTTAAGGCTGCAGTGCACAATACTGAAAACGCTAATGAAGGGAAATTATATATGTAGTTTGTAAACTTTGAAAATTAAGCACAACTTTCCATAAATTTGAGCATCCATCTGCAATGTGTATGTGTGTGTGTGTGTATTTGTGGTTGTGTTTTCTTACAATAAAATGTTGCAATGATTATAAAATGACCACATGTACATTCAAAGGAGCACATTTTAAAAATCACCAGAAGTAGATAGTTCAATATTTTTTTTTCTCTTGGCAAAGGGTATCCTCAGATACCCTCTGGGGTGAGTGTATAACCAGCCACACATTTTGGAAATGACTTTGGGTTGTGACTATGAAGGTGCCTTCCAAATCTGAGACTTCAAATAATTGTTGTAAAAAATACAGATATGTTTATTTATAACTACTTTCTTTTTCTTGAATTTTAATATTCCTAAGGACTAAAACAGTATTTTGAAATCCTTTGAAAATCTCAGAACCTCAATCAGGTAATGCACTCTGTGGTAGCTTCATACATATTTATTGACCAACTGACTGATTGAATGAGGAAAGAGATAAAATATCAGAGAATACTTACACACTCAATCTGCTAGCAGTGTTTGCTCTTAACTCAAAATTATTTGGAAAACACATGGAAAGATGCCTGTCTCTGTGGCAGTCTGTTGACTAGAAATTTAGTTCCTGCATCTCCATATGCTACCAGTACTTCCTCCAAATAGCATTTCTGAAGTTGGCTAATTTATGGCTGCATGGTGCATTTGCCCCTCCTCATCAGGTGCCATAATCTATTTTCCTTATCTTTCACTTGGTCTGTTTTCCCCTATCGACAAGACCTTCTTTGCCCCACCAAGGGAGAATTTCACATTCTCTTCTTACTCTGAAGTACAATTCTTATAGATGACAGATTTCTTTTTTTATTTGAGCCTAAGGTTTTCTTTTTTCATAACATACATTAAACATGCACCATAAAAAATTTTAATTAACTTGGCAGTAAGGAGCAAGAAGAAAAATTTAGTGATAAGCTCATGAGTCCAGTTTTTTTTTTTTTTATTTCAAAACTTTGAACCCTTAACTTTCGGTGATCCCAGACACTTACTGGACTTAGGTGGAGATTCCCTCTTGACCAATGAATAAGATTAATTGTTTTGATCAATCTTATACAGACCTGTGGACTAACTCTGACCTATAAGAGTGCTAGCTTTTAATACATAACATAATCTCATGAAATCTCTGCTTTGTAGCATTAAAAACACTGAGTTCCCTGTGTAGTTAATTACTCAGTGGATTTCTTTACTGCTGTATTTTCCCTTGAGTGGCAAGTCAGTGAACTCATAGATGTTTTATATGTGTGTATGTGTCTACATATATGTGTGTTTGTACAAATGCATGTATAAATATATGGGTATGATCACTGTATATTAGCTCTGGTCATCTTTGCTCTACTTACCTGGTATTAAACATGAGGTTAAGATACAAGAATAAGCCACGCCCAGTTTGCCATCCCTCAAATTTTGAAGTGCTTCCATATCCTCATGAACACTTGGTATCATCAGTCTTTTTCAATTTTGGCCATTCCAACAGTTGTGTAGTAATTTCTCACTCTGTTCTTTATTTGCATTTCCTAATGACTGATGATGTTGAGTATCTTTCACGTGCTTAATTGTCCTTGAATCAACTTTGCTAAAATATCTTCAAACATTTTTCTAATCTGTAATTGAATTTTGAGAGTTAATTATTTATTCTAGATACAAGTTCTTTATTAGATATGTGATTGGAAAATATTGTCTTGCTGTCTGTGATTTATCTTTACATTTTCTTAACTGTCTTTCAAAAAGAAATTATAATTTTGATAAAATCGTTCATAAATTTATTTTTAATGGATTGTGATTTTGGTGTTATATCTAAGAAATGTTTGCCTAACCAAAGGTCACAAAGTGTTTCCTCTGTGTATTATTTTAGAACTGCTGTAGTTTTAGGTTTTACATTTAAGCCTATAATCCATTTTGAGTTAAATTTTTTTTTATTATACCTTAAGTTCTAGGGTACATGTGCACAACGTGCAGGTTTGTTACATATGTATACATGTGCCATGTTGGTGTGTGCTGCACCCACTAGCTCATCATTTACATAAGGTATATCTCTGAATGCTATCCCCCCCCTCCCCCCACCCCACAACAGGCCCTGGTGTGTGATGTCCCCCTTCCTGTGTCCAAGTCTTCTCATTGTTCAATTCCTACCTATGAGTGAGAACATGCGATGTTTGTTTTTTTTGTCCTTGCGATAGTTTGCTGAGGATGATGGTTTCCAGCTTCATCCATGTCCCTACAAAGGACATGAACTCTTATTTTGAAAGACAGTGTGGCGATTCCTCAAGGATCTAGAACTAGAAATACCATTTGACCCAGCCATCCCATTACTGGGTATATATCCAAAGGATTATAAATCATCCTGCTATACAGACACATGCACACGTATGTTTATTGCGGCACTATTCACAATAACAAAGACTTGGAACCAACCCAAATGTCCAACAATGATAGACTGGATTAAGAAAATGTGGGACATATACACCATGGAGTTAAATTTTTAATTTGTCAAGAAGTATGGATCCAATTTATTCTCCTCTTCCTTCCTTTTTTTCTTCTTCTCCTCTTCTATCTTCATCTTTATCTTTTTCTTTTCTTCTCATGAAAATCTAATTGTTCTAGCAACACTTGTGGTAAAGTCCATTCTTTTCCCACTAAAATGGCTTTGAACCTTTGTCAAAATTCAATTGCCTGTATATGCAGGGGTCTAATTCTGAACCCTCTGTTCTGTTGCACTGATCTATTTATCTGTCTTTAAACAAATTTCACACTGTCTTGTTTGCTATAAGTTTATACTAAGTCTTGACTAAATATATAAATAAAAGTTTTCAAGACACAAGATACTGGGAAGCAAAGAACTAGGATCCCTGAGAGACAAGAAACAAACAAGGTGAGTCCTAAAGCTGCCCCACCCTACTGCTTTTCAGGCTATAGTGCAAGGAGAGGGAGCCCAAGAAGAGCCTGTAGATCGTTAGAGTTGAAAAGACAAAGGAGAGAGTTCAGGGAAAATAAGGTGACTACAGTTCATAGAGCTGAGTACCGGAAAGACCAGCAAAAAAAAGAGAACTCTGGAGATGTGTCTTGAAGTCTCCCTCAGTGTTCAGTTGAGGACTGATCAGTGTATGCAAAGGAGGAAATCACACAGATAGTTGAAGAATGATGAGAAAAGGTTAGAGGTCACTGTACCTGATACTCTTACAGGAGAGGCAATACTGCCCATATCAGGATACTGCCTGCAATTTAATCAACTCATGATTTAAAGGCCATTAGTTAGAACATTCAGAAAGAGTCATGACTCCATATGGGGAAATAAAGAGTCTGATAAGGAAAAAAGAGAACATGCAAAGTACTAATATCAGGAATTAAATAAGTAAAATCACTACAGATTCTATAATATTAAAGGAATTACAAGAATGTTATGAACAACTTTTTGCTAATAAGACAAAACTTGTAAAATAAAGCTAAGGCACTTAAAATTTATAGCATTCATATGTATTTTGCACCTTAGATAATACTAGGAATGAAGAAGATGAAAGTCCAAATCGAAAAATTAAAAAGAAAAACATAAAACAAACAATATTGAATGAAGAAAAAAATGAAGAGATTTTACCAAACTAATTCATTAGAGAGATACAGAGAAACACAGATCTAGAGATTGAAATCCAATAAAAACAAAGGGCCTGTTCAAAAAGGCATAAAATAAGCCATTTTCTACCACGATCATGATTGGAAAGAAGGGAAAAGCACAAATAAATCATGGTAAATTTAAAAGAGCTATAACCTCAGCTAAGTTAAATATTATGTTTTTTGCAGCACTATTCACAATAGCAAAGACTTGGAACCAACCCAAATGTCCAACAATAATAGACTGGATTAAGAAAATGTGGCACATATATGCCATGGAATACTATGCGGCCATAAAAAAGGATGAGTTCATGTCCTTTGTAGGGACATGGATGAAGCTGGAAACCATCATTCTCAGCAAACTATCTCAAGGACAAAAAACCAAAGACCACATGTTCTCATTCATAGGTGGGAATTGAACAATGAGAACACATGGACATAGAAAGGGGAACATCACACACCGGGGCCTGCTGTGGGGTGGGGGGAGGGGGGAGGGATAGCATTAGGAGATATACCTAATGTTAAATGACGAGTTAATGGGTGCAGCACACCAACATGGCACGTGTATACATATGTAACTAACCTGCACATTTTGCACATGTACCCTAAAACTTAAAGTATAAAAAAAAAACTCTCAAGGTATTTTTTACAAAAAATCTTATAACATTCAATGTGTTTTAAGTTGAAATAGATGAATTCCTAAAATATAAAATGTATCAAACCTAACTCTAAAGAGGAAAACAAAAAATAGAAAACATGAATATATTCAAAGTTATTAGAGTAAGTAAATCAGGTAGATAAAAGCTTGCCCACTCAAAACATTAGATCTGTGCAGTTTTACATGTACTTTTTACTGAAACCTCAAGAAAAAGTAATATCTATTGTTTATAAAACTGTTCTAGGGGAGGAGGAGGAAGATATTAAACATCTGCTTAATATCTAGGCAATTTTGTGAGAATAGCATCATTGATAGCATAATTTTACAATAAAGACAAACACAATTATGAAGAAATTTTTTTTTCCGTCGAGAAATTAGCCAAAGACTTTAAAAAAAAAAACAAAGTTAGAAGGAAAGAAGAAAAAGAAGAGAGAGAGAGAGGGAGGAAAAGGAAGAAAGGACGAATCAGTAAGGAAGGCAGGAAGGAAGGCCTGGAAGGAAGGAAGGAAGGAAGAAAGGAACAAAGGAGGGAGGGAGGGAGGGAGGGAGGAAGGGAGGGGAGAGTGAAGAATAAGAAAGAAAATAAATAACTGTCATAACCCAGTAAGCTTCATTCCAGTAAAGCAAAGGTATCTTCACATTAGAAAGCTTTTGAATGGCTGTTCCTAACCATATGACAAGCCAGGTATCCTGAATACACTCCAGCATAAAGCATTAGAAATAGTGAATAAAATAAATTTCAAAATTTTCTGGGCAAGTAGGAGCATAAGGAACGTTCTTAAATGTCAAAGGCAATGATCCTGCACAGGTCCTGAAAGTATGTGAGCACTGAAGCCAGCCAGTATCTGCTAAGCTGAACATAGATGACCGGGAGCCTCCAAGAACTAAACTTGGTTCACAGGAGACGACGTCTGGAAAACTGCGAAACCAGAATGAAAATTATGCAAATCTTAGACCTTTAAAAGGCAATAGGCTAAATATGTGAACGTGGAGGAGACCTTTGCTTTATAAAGAGCTATACTGTAGGAATTGCTTCTCTCAGGCTTCACTCCTGGTGGAGAGGGAAGAAGTTATCCCATAAAAAGCTCTAGAAATATGATTTTTCTTACCTGTGCTTAACATCAAAATTCATACTTTATGCTTTGTCCACAACAACGTCAAGCAAAAATGTAGAAAAAAATATTCCCAAGTTGGCATTAAGCCAAGGTATTAGCTATTCAGAAAAATAACTCTTAAAAAAGAAAACAAGACATCAAAAGATTCCCATAGGTAAAAATCCAAGGAATGTGAAAAAAAGAAATATGACACAGAAGAGGAAACAATTCCCAGTACCAAAGAGTCAAAAGAACAAACCAGGGTAAAATCATATCAATACAAGCTACAAGTATGTAAATGGTCTGACACTGATTCACTACACATTATACATAGTTTCATCACACTTCTTAAACGAGAGAGTATTAAGTGTCAAAAAGGACAAGAAAAACTATTCAGAATTATCAAGCAAATTTGAAAAATAATCAAATAGATGTTCTGAAATTAAATATTCAATAATAAGGTTTAGTTACACTGCATTAGAAGGACGCATCTCCAAGTCCCTATTTGTTGAGATAGGTACACAGTTTTTATTTTACTGAGATCCCTGGACTAAGGTGAGCAAGGAGATGTGCTGTTGTAGGCACCATCAGGGAAGATACCTAAAAACCTGAATGTGTGCATGTGTGAAAGACACCTGGCTGGCTACTACACAGTGTGAGTGCTCAGAACAGTGAGCACAGGCGTCCCTCCCTTCTGAAGCCCAATGATGAGGAAACAGGGGCTCTAATACCTCTAATTCTATGGCGCTGGCACAGCACGTACAAAAAGAGATTCAGATCTGGGTCTTCTAATGCCAAATCTTGTGTTATTTTTACTAAATTTTAAAACCTCCAAGCAATATTATGTAAAATATGCAAACAGCTCTTCTGCAGGATTATTATGTGAATCTTCACTAAAAAATAGGTGCAAAAATAAATGTCTGGTGGCCACAGAGGTGCTTGTGTCACCCCTTCCCCAACTCCTAGCAGCCTAGATGAAGACAGAGAGACTGTCTTTTGGGGGCAAAGTGAGGGAAGAGAACAAGAGACTCCACTTGGTAATCCAGGGAATTTGCCTGGATCTTATCCAAGCCCATAAAGGTGATACATCTAAGAGTCTACAAGAATTGCAGCATTACTGGTATTGGGGCATTCCCTAATGCAGATACTGTTACAGTGACCCAATATTTCAATCACAACACTCAATACCCTTTGAATAACCGGAAATCCTTCTCAGGAAGGATAGGTACAAACAAGCCCAGACTGCAAAAATTGGAATAAATACCTAACTCTTCAATGCCAAGACATCAACAAACATCCATGAACATCAAGAACATCCAGGAAAATATGACCTCACCAAACAAAGGCAGGCACCGCTGACGAATCCCAGAGGGACAGAGATATGTGATCTTTCTGGCAGAGAATTCAAAAGAACTGTTTTGAGGAAGTCCAATGAACTTCAACATAACACAGAGAAGAAATTCAGAATCCTATCAAGAAATGTAATAGAGATTGAAATAATTTTAAAAAATGAAGCAGAAATTCTGAAGCTGAAAAAATTCAATTGACAAAAATCACAGCCTGAATGGCAGAACTGATATAGCAGAAAAATAATTACTGAGCTTGAAGACAGGCTATATTAGTGAGAACATGTCCTATTTGCTTTTCTGTTTCTGCATTAATTCACTTATAATAATGGCCTCCAGCTACATCCATGTAGTTACAAAGAACATGATTTAATTCTTCCTTATGGCTGCATAGTATTCCATGATGTATATGTATCACATTTCCTTTATCCTATCCACCACTGATGGGCACCTAGATTGATTCCATATCTTGGTTATGGTAAATAATGCTGCAATAAATATATAAGTGCAGGTGTGTTTTTGGTAGAATGATTACTTTTCCTCTGAGTAGATACTCATTTCCTTTGAATAGCAGGACTGCAGGATCAAATGGTTGTTCTATTTTTAGTTCTTTGAGAAATCTCCATGCTGCTTTCCTTAGGGGCTGCACTAATTTACCCATCAACATTGTATCAGTGTTCCCTTTTCTTCACAGCCTAGCTAACATGTTACTTTTAGGCTTTTTAAAAATAGCCATTCTAGGCGTGAACTGAGGAGGTGGAGCTTGCAGTGAGCCGAGATCGCGCCACTGCATTCCAGCCTGGGCAACAGAGCAAGACTCCGTCTCAAAAAAAAAAAAAAAAAAATAGCCGTTCTAACTGGTATGAGATGGTATCTCACTGTAGGTTTTGATTTGTATTTCTCTAACAATTAGTGTCTGTTTGCATCCTTTGTCCACTTTTTAATAGGATTTTTTTTTCTTGTTGATTTGTTTAAGTTCTTTATAGATTCTGGATATAGTCTGTTGTCAGATATAGCTTGCAAATATTTTCTCCCATTTTATAGGTTGTCTGTTTATTCTGTTGATAGTTTCTTTTGTTGTGCAGAAGTTCTTTAGCTTAATTAAGTCCAAATTGTCAATTTTTGTTTTTGTTTTATTTGCTTTTGAGGTTTTGGTCAGAAATTCTTTGTCTAGGCCAATGTCTGGAAGAATGTTTCCTAGGTTTTCTTTTTGGATTTTTATAGTTTTAAATGTATCATTTTCTTAACAACAGGGCAACTTAAAAGCTATTACATTCAATATAAGTTCTAGCAAAGTATGTTTTAAAATATTTGCCGGATTACTGTTATTATCGGTTTGATGCTAACTCATGCATTATATATTAAGCATCTTATAAAATTCAGTGCCTTTTCCATAGATTCAGTTGATATGGAATGGGGGGTAGGGAATTTTAAAAGTAATGAAAAGAATCATGCCAAATTACTATAAGTGCCACTGTTTGTTAAACTTCTTCAGATATGTTCTAGAATGCCTAGAAATTCTTCTAAGAAAGTCAAGGAGGGATAGGATGCCAACTCTCCTGTTTCATAGCATGCTACATATGTGAGCCAAGTAAACGTAGCTTTTCTTTTTCCTTTCTTTCTTCCCCTCTCTCTGTCTATCCTTGTCTTTCCATTTAACTGCATTCTTGTTTGTTTTTATTTATTTATATGTTTTTTAGGGATTTTTGTTCTAACTCCCCAGGAAGGACAGAATTCTTAAATTGAGTTATGACACACAGTTCTGGTCAGAATAAACAGACAATAGGAATCCCTAGATGACAAGAAGATTATAAAGCCCATAAGGAAAAGGGAGGCAGTTATAAAAATAGAGAATGGGAAGATGCATTTTATGTTCAGTTTTGGACAACTAGGATGCCCAGTATAGGATTCAAATTGTCCTTCCTGGGTTTTGGAACTTGCCTTGGGAAAAATTGGAATAAATACCTAACTCTTCAATGCCAAGACGTCAACAAACATCAAGAGTATACCGGACCTCAATCTACTCTTCTCAAAGAAAAGCACATAAATGTCAATGAAGGCCTTGCCATAAGGCAGGAACTAGAATTCCCAGAGGGCATTTACCCCACAGATTTTATTCTCTTGTCTCCCTTTGCAAACACCACTTATGTCTCCAGGTTTTCCCATTTTATAATCATTTCTGTATTCATGTTTTGTTTGGTTTACTTCTTTCCATTTTCTGAACTGTGAAATTAGTACGGAGCTTCTTCCTTGGACCTAGTATGTTCAGCATATTTCTCCCACTTTTCCTTTTGTTCTCTGAGAAAATTTAATTGACTCATTATACTTTAAGTTCATTCTAGCTTTCTCACTCCAGTGCAGAAATAAGTGCATGCCCTCCAGGTGCCCAGTCCAGCAAGCGTTATAAAAAGGGAAATAGATGGTTTTTTGGCAGGAAGGGTGTACCCAGTATTATAGGACCATGAAAGAGGGAGCACAGATATTTGCTCCAGGAAGTCAGAGAGAATTTCTAGGGAGGGCGAAATTTGAGTAAGACTCTGAATAATGAGTGGTGCCAGAACCAGTGGAACCTCAAGGTGAGCCAGCAATTCACTTACATCCAGCACCTTTATGAGGTAAATGTGAGGTACAGGCATGAGGCAGGTGCTGGAGATGCAGGAGAGAATAAGGCTGGGTCACTCCCTGCACCACAACCTGCAATCTAACAGAGGAGCCACCATGAAAGTCACAGGAAGTAAAAGAGCAATGATGAGTTTACAAAGGCATTCAGTTAATTTAGGTATTAGAAGAAGGCGTCCCACAAAATGTTATTTAGGTTGAACTGTAAAGGATGAACAAGAGCTGGGTAATTAAGAGGTGGCAGGTGCAGTGTTAGGAGCAGAGGGAAGGACAGGAGAAGGTCTGAATGTGACATGAAGCAGGGAAATTATGAAAAAATGAAAGGGATTTTAGTATTTCTGGGATGCCCTGAACAAAGAATATAGCACCACCTAGGACAAATAAGGAGGTAAAGTCAACATCACTGGCAAATTATTAATGCCAATTGACTTTTGGGGGTTGGAAAATCTCTAAGTGTGCTGATGAGAATTCTCATTTCATTATTTGTAGGCTAGAACTAGATATTATAAGATATTATACCATTATTATTTAAGATAACTTTAATAGAGAAGTAATATGTAGCAGGAACTCCTATATGCAACTTTTCATGTATTGCACATTGATCCTGCACAACAAACATTTGTAATTAGATATCATCCTTCCACCATAAATGAAAGTAAGCTTCACAGCTGTAAACTCACCTGAGTTGAGTCTGTGAGTGGCAGTACTGGGACTTGTTCTTGTCTGCCTGGACTCCAAAATGCTTCCATTAGCTTCAGTATTTAATTGCCTCTCTAGGACTACTGATAACCCCAGGGTAGCAGAGCTAAAGCAGTAGTCTCTGTTAGTATGACCTGTGTCCTATCCTCTGGAGTAACTTGGTTTAGTCAATCCTAGGATGCCTTTAAACTGCGACTTGTTTCTATGGAAAGCTTTCTTATTTCTGAAATCTTCCATAGGGACTGCAGTAAGTCATCTCTATCCTGAATAATCTCCATCAACATTATTTTTGAAAGTCACCTTCTTTGTCCAATGTAACTTAAAGAGAGGAAGTTCATTAAATATTATGTAATTCTACTACTATAATGACAGCAGAAACTGGAGACTATCATAATGCACTCTATACTGTGGATCTCTTGCCATAGATGGCTGGTGTGTGTCGATGAAGCACACTGCATTCTCAACATACCTCAAGGTTTTCATCAAATCCTGTTAAAGGACCCCTGTAAGTGGTGCTATATTTGGATATCAGGACTAGAACAAATCAGCACAGATTTTGGTCTCTGGAGCAAAGGGAAAAAAAGCCAGTTAGAAGTCCTCTTGCAGAACTTTGTGGATTAGCCTAAGTGATCCGTGTGTGTGCTATGTTTTCAAACTCACAACTCAGTGTGAGCTCACAGTCAGCTGTGGAACTAAAGGGGCTTACATAGCATTTTCATGGCTATCATTCCCATTTAGTACAAGGACAAAAACACTGCCTGATTATCCCCTCTTCTCAGTAATATTAAGAACCTGCTCCAAGACTATGAAACAAACTTTAAAGATAAAAGAGATTCCTAAAACATTAGTCATCTTTCATTTGTTTAGCAGGTTAAAAACCCACACTTATCAATTTAGAATGGATATAGCACAGACTCAGTGAAAGCAAGAGAAAGAAGAGTTTTAAAAGATTTCTAAGAACAGGAAGTGTATTACAATGTCCTTTGTCTCCTTATAGTAAACGATAAACATGTGTATGTCAGGCAGTGGGCTGTGTTTGCAGCATTTTCTATGCTATCTCAAATGCATATCCATTGGTTGCATAATGAGTGGGAAGGGGAACAGCTACATGAGGAAGCGTGATGAGAGTCCTCCATATTGCTGGCAGTAGTATGGAAGTTGTCACCTAGTTTGGCTTCTTACTCTTCTTAAAGTTCTTATAATCATGTGAAGTAGATGGCATCATAATTGCCACTTTAAAGTTATTTATTCTAATTGCTTTCATGAATGATGTGTTCTCAAGCCCAAAAACATTTTTAGTTTTCTCTGCTAATATTATTTTATATGAATCCTTTTGCCCTCTTTTCCATGTAATGAGGATCTGTTCCTACTTCTCTAAAAGTAGCCGAGTATCAGATTGCTAACAAGCTCTCAATAGCAAAAGAGTACAGTATTTGCACTCACTTATAGGATCTTGAGGAAGAGAGGAAATTAAACCAATGTTCAATATAAAGATTTTAATAGCTTTTTCTCTGATGAGCTAATTTCTATCACTTAAGAATAAAACTATATATGAGTAGCTGCTTTAGGTAAAAAGCAGTGTGTTAGGTGTGCAGAAAGTCTGCATGGAAACTTGATTTAGGGTCCATTTGAAGAAGGATAGATGAGATAATACCAAACAGGCTGTTCTGAATCTGTCATTTTGAGTTAGTAAATTTAACCCAGAGACAGGGTTGTTATTGTGATGGTGGTAAAAATATACATAACATAAAATTTACCATTTTAATCATTTTTTAGTGTACAGTTCAGTGGTATTAAATATATTCACATTGTTGTACGATCATTACCACCATCCATCTCCAGAACTACTTCTTCCCAAAGTGAAAGTGTGTCTCTATTAAACACTAACTCTCTATTCCTCCCCAGCCCTCTAGTTTGCAGCAGCCACCCTTCCAGTTTCTGTGATTTTGATAACTCTAGGTGTCTCCATCACTAGACACTGGAATTTGACAGTGTTTGTCCTTTTGTGACTGGCTTATTTCACTTAGCATGACGTCTCCAAGGTTGGGACAGATATTTAACTTCCCAACAATCAATATTCTTCCAGTCTTGGTTCAAATAATCAACTCTCACCCTCTGCTGTCCCACACATGGCTATTTTAACACGTCTGTTTTAGAAAGCCATTTCCACCATGTGCTGGAAAAATGGTATCTGCCAAACATACATCTAAATTGGTTTATTCTTCACTAGGTTAACATCTGCGAAAGACATCCTTGATCCTCATTTGGTCTCTAAACGTAACCCTCATTATGGGGGAGTTTGCTTTTCATTCTTTATATTACTATGTCATTAGAAATTTTTATAAGAATACTTAACTTTGTGGTACTAGCTTTAAATAAAGATTTATTCTTTAGGTAGTGAAGTGTGCTTTGCAATTATTTTTCTTCTGATAATTGTTGTAGGTTTCAGTTTTTCTGTTATGAACTTATTCAAGTATTCAAAATGACTAGAAATTTATATAATAGCTCAAATATATTTTAACCAATAAAACTATTGTGGCTTAAAATTTGTGACATTCTAAGATTGCAGTCAGCTGTGTGGAACATACTTGCCTTTCTTAGATGACTGTTTGCAAGTGATGACCCAGGATGCACCTATGGGCGAAGTTCTCCAGAATGGCAGGCAGCTCTGCACCTTGCCGTGGAGTTCTGGCACACCTTTGGGAATAAGACTGCAACTCTTCTCCTTTTCCTACTGATGCAACAGATCCAATGACAGCTGGGTTCTGGCCCAAACAGGAGATAATTTTATTGCACTTTTTGAGAATCTTCTGTTTTTCCTCCTCATTGATCTTAGAAGTTTCCATCTCCCATTTTGCTCTTTGTATTAAAAGCTGAGTTGGAAGAAGACACCCTGTCTCTTGGCTTCATCTTCACCATGGACTTTATATCTTACTTGTCATTTTAGATGTCATTGTCATTACCAATTGTTTTCTTGTTCTTTTCCTCTGTACTCTTGTCCATGACAAACATGACCAGGTTTCCAGTAGCAACAATGTAAAAAACATCCGGAACCTGTTCTCATGTAACTAAAAGTCCATGTCAAGATGATAAATTTTCTGAAAATCTGTCTTTTTGATAGTAATAATGTCATGATGTTTTGTCAAAACACTCATAAATTCAAACCAAGGAATTGAGGTTCCTAACACTTCAAATTTGTCTCTGAAGAAGACTGTTCAGATATTGAAAGCCTCATCAAGGGTGATGTTCTTATTCAATTCCTTGTCTTTGAAGATTTGGGCTGCAGAAATTTTGAAATCCTGGAGATGTACCAATAGGAAACCATCATGGCTGTGAAGCTCATCTGGCAAAATGTAAAGGAACTCATCCACTGGGTCTAATGTGCATGAAAGACATCAAAATTTAGTTTTTCAGATACATTGTGGTCTGGTGAATGGTGTGATATTGTGACATGTAATAAGAAATATATAATTGATTTTCATCTGCATTTCATGCCCACATATCCTAAAATTATTGTAATTTCCTAAACAATATGTGTGCTGGGAGCATCTTGTTTTGTAATATTTGGTCTTTGACCCAAGTTCTTAACACAGAACTCCTAAATGCCTTGGAAGCTTTCATTCTACTGAAGTGACTCTTGGTGGCCTTCTGAGTAGGTGCTGCTTACAGGAAAGACCAAACCATAATTAGAAACTTGGAATTTTTTAACCCCTCCCTTCATTCTGTCAGAAGAAAATAAAAGCTAGCAATTGAGTTAACAATGTGCCTACATGATGAAGCTTCCATAAAAATCCCTGCAGTACAGGGTTCAGAGAGCTTCCAGGTTGGTGAACACATCCATGCGGTGGGAGGGTGGTACACGTCAACTTTACAGGAATAGAAGCTCCTGCTCTTGGAACCCTCCCAAACCTTGCCCCATGTATCTCTTCATTTATCTCTTCATTGGTACTTTTTTTTTTTATCATATCTTTTCTACCAAACCAGTAAAATAAGTGTTCCCCTGTGTTCTGTGAGTCATTCTAGCAAATAATCAAACCTGAGGAGAGGGCTGTGGGAACCTCTGATTCTGATTGGTAGCAATTCAGTCCCGGGGAGCCACCACTTATGATTGGGTTCTGAAACTGGAGATAGTCTTATGGGACTGAGCCCTTAACATGTGGGGTCTGTGATAACTCCAGGTAGATAGTGTCAGAATTAAATTGATTATGGGACATCCAGTTTTGTTTGCAGAGAGTTGCAGAATTTCCTCGCACATTTTGGTGACAAGAGTGAAGGAGTCTGAGTAAAGAGAAAAATAGAGTTTTTCTGTAGAGAAGGGTGACATTAATCTTTTAGAATCAATTTTAATTCTCGCTTGATTTCTGGAAGAGAGAATGTATTTGCCTAGATCAAATATTATGGAACACTCCTGTTCGTACTGAAATTCTTAAAATTGTACTTGAAATTGGTTGTCATAACCTTCCCTATCGATCCAGGTGTTATTTTACTTTGAGGGGTTTGTTTGTCTGTTTGTTTTTATCTCCACTCAGTAAAATGGGTGGCCAAACTGTAGAACTGACCTTCAAAATTTAATTTTCCACAGTGAAGAAGCATTCAACTAAAGTGATAACTCCAAAGTCTAAACATTTCTATCCATTTCAAATTTCCTTTGCAAGCTCTAAATCATAACAATGATTATGATTTTCACATACAAGAAGTATCCCATTCAAATATAGGTCGTAATGAGATCAATGTTATTATGAATCAATATTAAAAAATTTTGTCTCAATTCTGCCACTTATCAGCTGTTTAATCTTGAGGAAGTCACGTCACTTCTCTGAACTTGTCTATAAAATGGAAAGAGCAGTAAACAATTTACAATTTTCTAATAAAGAAAAAATGGTAGTCTGATTAAGAAAGTTGTAATATATTTTATGTACCATGAATCTATCATTATATTGTTTAAATAAAAGACTCTTGAAAATGCAAAATCAATATTCTGCTGTATTCTGTTCCCAGGTCATTTATTTCTGAAACAAAACAAAATCTTAACTTATACATTTTATAAACTTTTTTATTTTTTTGAGACAGAGTCTCACTCTGTCCCCCAGGCTAGAGTGCAATGGCATGATCACAGCTCATTGCAGCTTCGACTTCCCAGGCTCAAACAATTCTCCTGCCTCAGCCTAGCCTCTCAAATAGCTGGGACCACAGGCACACACCACTATGCTGGGCTAATCTTTTTATGTTAATTTTTGTAGAGATGGAGTTTCCTTATGTTGCCCAGGCTGGTTTTAAACTCCAGGGCTTAAGGGATCCCCCTTTCTCAGCCTCCCAAACTGCTGGGTTTACAGGCATGAGCCATGTAGGTCTTTCTCTTAAAAAAAAATTGTTGTATTTTAATATCATCTGTTAATGTACAAGAAGGTACAAAGTTATCTTGTTAATTTTTTTGTTGCTTAAATGTTGTGACATCAATGGAATTGAGATATATAGGTTAAAATATAACAATTATATATTTATATAATGTTGCATATTTTAACATATATTGTACTATATTTATAGTATATAGGAGTATACATTGTATATTATATAGCATTTATTATAGTCATATGTTTTTCTATCATTAAGATTATATGAAGATTAATAGAATTTGTATCTTTAATCTTCCAAATTATTCTATTTTTTCATAAATTTTATTAAAGCTAACCATATAAAAATGTAACTCTTAAGGCAAATTTAATAAAATCTTCAGCTGGTAGCCAATGCTAAAGTGTTAGGATGATTTAAACTAGCCGCATTTTGTTCACTTTAGTAAGGTCTTTTCATGTCCTTTGGCTCTTAATGTGTTTGTATTTACATCAAATTATGGATTAACTGTTGTGTTAAAATTGGTCTTTTATTTCAATGAATCAGACAATAAATGTAACCAAATGAGATGTTTCCTCTTTAAGTGATGGGTGGATTGATTCAGTTGCCAATATTGACTACTCAAGCATTAGACAGGCAGTGGAGCTGACAAACATTAAAACAAAACAAAACACCACCACCACCACCAACAAAAAACAAACCACTTTGAATTCCTGTTATCGTTTTTTCTTTTTTTGCAAAAACAGTTGCTATTCAAAATATTTAAATATGAAATCTTAAATAATATGCTTAAAACCAATATTGCTTGTATTATCTATGTAATAAATCATGTTAAACATTTTTTATCTTTAGAGACATGGTTGATTAATTTCACACATGGACACAGTCAAATGCAGTAAGAAACCTTCCTAATACTCAAATACTTTGATATTCACATGCACCTATCTTCAGGCTACTGCCTGATGCTAATGTAACCTCGGAAACAGGATTATGGCAATCATAGTAAGCAGACAATTGTATTAACCATGACTTGTTCTTCAAAGAGGAAGAAAATAATGTTAAATTAGTGTATATTTGTACACACTGCCTTTTTAGTAATCACATACTGGACAACACTGGACAAGTCTCATGATTGTGTACTGGAGAGTTCATAGAGATTTGCTCTGACCGTCCCTATTTCCCACTGATCATTTTGCCTTAAGTCTTCGCTCTGCTAAGGTTCCAGAGATCAGATCACCAGCAGAATATTAAATAAATTGTAACATTTCCCTTTCTGTCTTCAATCAAATAATCCATAATTTGAAACCTAGAGATTTTTATTAATCTGTTCCCTCAAACCCGGGGCTAATATTCTGCAGTGTCCTCGGTCCCTTTTGCAAAGGATTTGCTGCCCAAAGGCTAGCTATCTGGTGAAATTGAAGGCTATCTATGAGGACAGAAAGTAAATATGGTGGGGAAGAGGGGTCAATATTAGAGATTGTACAGTGGTCTATGTTCTGGAGAACTGACTGAAAATGGACTTAGTAACATAGACACAGAGTATAAGGCAGATGAAATATTAGTCTGAGTACATGTTTGGAAATGTTTCAGGGTAGGTATTAGTTATTGTATTAGTTCATTCTCACACTGCTATAAAGAACTTCCCAAGACTGGGTAATTTACAAAGGAAGGAGGTTTAATTGACTCCCAGATCCACATGGCTGAGGAGGCCTCAGGAAACTTACAATCATGGGAGAAGGGGAAGCAGGCACCTTCTTTACAAGGTGGCAGGAGAGAGATGAGTGACGGAGGAACTTCCAAACATTTATAAAACCCTCAGATCTTGTGAGAACTCACTATCATGAGAACAGCATGGGGGAAACCACCCCCATGATCCAATCACCCCTCACCAGGTCTCTCCCTCAACACCTGGGGATTACAATTGAAGATGAGATTTGGGTGGGCACACAAAGCCTAACCATATCAGTTATAACATATGAGACTGGGTTCATATTTTCCATGATATGAAGCTTATTGATGAATGAGATTCCAAAGGTGATGGAGGTTTCTGCTGATTATATCACATTTAGTATATTTTGTTAAAGTTGAAGTATGACATTGTAAAAGAAACACAAAAAGAATCCATATGATCACAAGTGTGATTTTTAAAACTTAAGAAATAGGATAGTATAATATTAACAAAACGTGCATTTAAATGCTACAGGTACCTCAAATTTAACCTGGGCAAAGGGGAATAATCAATAAATAATGCACTTTTCCTAAATTATTTTATGGCTACATAGTGCCATCATAACTCCCACATCAAAGAGATTATTGATTTTTATTTTACAAATTGAGTTTTGATATGTTTGTTATAACAAATATCACACAAATAGAAGAGTGCATAAACCCATATGTATAGCTCCTTAATAATTATAAAGTAAACAGACATCTATCTACTGCTCTGATAAAGATGTATGGTGTTGCAAGACATCAGAAATATCTGCATGCCTTGTTCAGTCACTACTTCCTCTCAAACTTGTGCTAATCAGTTTCCTTTATGATGAAAATATTATCTTACTATCTTTAAAATAACACTCTTTCTATATACATCTTAAATCATACTCAATATAGTTGCCTGGTTTTGAGCATTATATAAACAAAATATGCTCAATTTATTTTTTTATTTTTAACTTTTATATTAGAGTGATGGGCACATGTACAAGTTTGTTATTTAGGTATATCGTATGTCATGGGGGTTTGACGTGCAGATTATTTCATCCCCCATGTAATAAGCATAGTATCTAATAGGTAGTTTTTCAGTCCTCACCGACCTCCCACCATTCACTGTCAAGTAGGCCCCGGTGTCTGTTGTTTCCTTCTTTGTGTCCATACGAATTCAATGTTTAGCTCCCAATTATAACTGGGAACATGCGGTATTTCCTTTTCTGTTTCTGTGTTAGTTTGCTTAGAATAATGTCCTGCAGCACCATACATGTTCCTGTAAAGGACAAGATCTTATTCTTTTTTATTGCTGTGTAGTATTCCATGATGTGTGTGTACCACCTTTTCTTTACACAGTCTACTGTTGATGAGCATTTAGGTTGAATCCATGTCTTTGCTATTGTGACTAGTACTGTAATGAACATGAGTATGCATGTGTCTTTATGGTAGAATGATTTATATTCCTTTGGGTATATACCCAATAATAGGATTGCTGAGTCAAATGGTAATTCTGTTTTGAGTTTTTTGAGAAATCAACAAACTGCTTTCCACAATCGAACTAATTTACACTCCCAGTACCAGTTAATAAGCATTCCTTTTTCTCAACAGCCTTACCAGCACCTGTTATTTTTTGACTTTTCAATAATAGCCATTGTGACTGAGTTTTTTTTTTGTTTTTTTGTTTTTTTTTTTTGACGGAGTCTTGCTGTGTCGCCAGGCTGGATTGTAGTGGCGCGATCTCGGCTCACTGGAACCTCTGCCTCCCTGGTTCAAGCGATTCTCCTGCCTCAGCCTCCTGAGTAGCTGGGATTACAGGCACGCGCCATTACACCCAGCTAATTTTTGTATTTTTAGTAGAGACAGGGTTTCACCCTGTTGGCCAGGATGGTCTCAATGCTCTGACCTTGTGATCCTCCTGCCTCAGCCTCCCAAAGTGCTGGGATTATAGGCAAAAGCCACTGCGCCTGGCCCTGAATGAGTTTTTGTAGTCCTTTGAAGAATGTCATTAGTAGTTTGATAGAAATAGTATTGAATCTGCAAATTGTTTTGAGCGGTATGGCCATTTTAATGATATTGATTCTTTCTATCCATGAGCATGGAATGCTTTTCCATTTGTTTATTTCATCTCTGATATCTTTGAGTGGTGTTTTGTAATTCTTATTGTAAAGATCTTTCACCTCCCTGGTTAGCTGTACTCCTAGGTATTTTATTCTTTTTGTGGCTATTGCGAATGAGATTGCATTCTTGATTTAGCCCTCAGCTTGGACGTTGTTGTTGTGGCAGAATGCTACTGATTTTTTCACATTGATTTTATATCCTGAAACTTTGCTTAAGTTGTTTATCAGCTGGAGGAGCTTTTGGACAGGGACTAAGGGGTTTGCTATGTATGGAATCATACTGTCTGCAAACAGAGATAGTTTGACCACCTCTCTCCCTACTTGGGTGCTTTTTATTTCTTTGTCTTGCCTGATCTCTCTGTCTGGGACTTCCACTGTTACGTAGAATAGGAGTGATGAGACAGGGCATTTTGTCATATTCTGGTTTTCAAAGGGAATGCTTCCAGCTTTTGCCCATTTAGTATGATGTTGGCTGTGGGTTTGTCATACATGACTGATTATTTTGAGGTATGATCCGTCAATACCTAGTGCATTGAGGGTTTTTAGCATGAAGAAATGTTGGATTTTATTGAAGGCCTTTTCTGCATCTGTTGAGATGATCATGTGTTTTTCGTCTTTTGTTCTGTTTATGTGGAGAATCACATTTATTAATTTGTGTATGCTGAACCACCCTTGCACCTCATGGATAAGACCTATTTGCTCGTAATGGATTAGCTTTTTGATGTGCTGATGGATTCTGCTTGCTAGTATTTAGTTGATGATTTTGGGATCTATGCTCATCAGGGATTTATTGGCCTAAGGTTTTCTTTGTTGTTGTTGCTGTGTCTGTGGCAGGTTTTAGTGTCAGGATGATGCTGGTTTCACAGAATGAGTAAGGGAGGAGTCCTTCCTCCTCAATTTTTTGGAAATAATTTTAATAAGAATGGTACCAGCTCTTCTTTATATATCTGGGAGAATTGAGCTATGAATTTCTCTGGTCCTGGGCTTTTTCTTGCTGATTCAATTTTGGAACATATGATTGGTCTGTTTAGGGATTCAATTTATTCCAGGTTCAATCTTGGGAGCTTGTATTGTTCCAGGAATTTATCCATTTCTTCTAGGTTTTTAGCTTGTGTACAGAGAGGTGTTCATAGGAGTCTCAAAGAGTTTTTTGTATTTCTTTGTGGTTGGTGGTAGTGTTCCCTTTGTCATTTCTAATTGTATTTATTTGGATCATCTCTCTTTTTTCTCTATTGGTCTAGCTGGTAGTCTGTCAATCTTATTTATTCTTTCAAAAAAAAATTCCTGCATTTGTTAATCTTTTACATGGCTTTTCAAGTCTCAATTTCCTTCAGTTCAGCTCTGATTTTGGTTATTTCTTGTCTTCTGCTAGCTTTGAGATTTATTTATTCTTGTTTCTGTAGTTCCTCTAGGTGTGATGTTACATTGTTAATTTTAGATATTTCTAAATATCTATAGCACTACAGATGTGGGTGTTTAGCACTCAAAATTTTCCTCTTATCACTACTGCTTTAGCTGTGCCCCAGAGATTCTGTTATGTTATGTCTTTGTTCTCATTAGTTTCAAAGAATTTCTTGATTTCTGGCTTAATTTCATTGTTTCCCCCAAAGTCATTCAGGAGCAGGTTGTTAATTTCTTTGTAATTATATGGTTTTAAGTGATTTTCATAGTATTAATATCTATTTATTGCACTGTGGTCTGTTCGTGTGGTTGGTAGTATTTCAGTTTTTTTTAATTTGTTGAAGATTGTTTTATGGCCGAGCATTTGGTTTATTCTAAAGTATGTGCCATGTGCAGATGAGAAGAATGTATATTCTGTTGTTTTTCTGTGGAGAGTTCTGTATATGTCTGTCAGGTCCATTTTGTCAAGTGTCATGTTCAAGTCCTGAATATCTTCATGAGTTTTCTGCTTTGATGATCTGTCTAATACTATCAGTGGGGTGTTAAAGTCTATCTCTATTTTTTACGGTTGTTTAAGTCCTTTTGTAAGCCTCTAAGAACTTACTTTATGAATCTGGGTGCTCCTGTATTGGATGTGTATATATTGAAAACAGGTCTTAAATTGAACTTTTTACCATTACGTAATGGCCTTCTTTGTCCTTTTTAATCTTTGTTGATTTAAAGTCTGCTTTGTCTGAAATGAAAATAGCTTTTCTCTGTTTTTCATTTGTTTGGTAGATTTTTCTTCTTCCCTTTACTTTGAGCCTATGCATGTCATTACATTTGAGATGGGACTCTTGAAGACAGCATACCATTGTGTCTTGCTTATTTATCCATCTTGCCACTCTTTGCCTTCGAATTTTACCATTTAGCTCCTTTATATTCAAGGTTATTATTGATCTGTGAGAATTTAATCCTGTCATTTTCTTGTTAGCTGATTATTATGCAGACTTGTTTGTATGGTTGCTTTATAGTGCCAATAGTCTATGTACTTATATGTGTTTTTATAGTGTCTGGTAACAGTCTTTCCTTTCCATATTTAGCACTCACTTCAGGACCTCTTGTAAGGCAGGTCTGGTAGTAATTAATTCCCTTAACATTTGCTTGTCTGAAAAGGATCTTATTTCCTCTTTGCTTACAAAGCTTAATTTGGCTGGATATGAAATTATTGGTTGGGATTTCTTTTCTTTAACAATTCTGAATATAAACCCTCAACCTCTTCCGACTTGAAGGGTTTCTGTGGAAATGAATGAACACTATTAGCTTGATGGGGTTCCCTTTGTAGGTGACCTATCCCTTTTCTCTAACTGCCTTTAATATTTTATTTTGACATTGAAAAATCTGATGACTATGTCTTGGGGATGGTTGTCTTGTGTTATATCTCACAGGGATTCTTTACATTTCCTGAATTTAAATATTGGCCTCTCTAGGAAGATTGGGATACTTTTTATGAAAGATATCTTGAAGTACGTTTTTCAAGTTGCTTGCTTTCTCTCCCTCTCTTTCAGGGACACAAATTAGTTTTAGATCTGGTCTCTTTACATAATCCCACATTTCTCAGATGTCTTGTTCATCCTTCTTTTATCTCTTTTTCTTTTGTCTGACTGAGTTATTTCAAAGAACCATTCTTCAACCTCTGTAATTCTTTCCTCAGCTTAGTGATTCTGCTGTTAATACTTACTATTATATTCTCAAAGTCTTGAAGTGAGTTTTTCAGCTCTGTCAGATCAGTTTTATTCTTTCTGAAAATGGCCATCTCATCTTTTATCTCCTGTATTATTTTATTGTATTTCTTAGAATCCTTGTGTTGGGTTTTCACTTTATCCTAATTTCAATGATCTTCTTTGATATCCATATTCTGAATTCTATTTTGATCACGTCAGCCATTCAGCCTGGTTAAGAACCATTGCTGGGGAACCCATACAGTCATTTAGAGGTAAAAAGACACTCTGGTTTTTTGAGTTGCCAGTGTTTTTGTGCTGGTTCTTTTTCATCTGTGTGGGCTGATGTTCCTTCAATCTTTGAAGTTGCTTTCCCTTCAGTGTTTTTGTTTTGGGGTGTGTGTGTGTGTGTGTGTGTGTCTGTTTGCTTTTATCTTCTTTGATACCCTTGGGTTTGATTGTGATCTAAGGTGGCTTTGTTTCTGAAAGGTTTTAGAGGGCCAAGGCTCAGCTCAGCACTCCTGGCTTGCATGCTGTCATTCTTGAGGGTGGGGGGCTGGTATCAGGCCCCCAAGTTTGTTATCCTGCCCCCAATTTTGTTATCTGGTTAAGAACCTGCTGCACTGGAGGGGCTGAGGTATTCCCATACCACTGGCCACAACACTCTGACAGGTAGTACCAGCCAAAGCACTTTGTCAGGGTGGTGGCAGTGGGTTCCTTGCTCCTTCATACTTGCCAGCAATAGTGGCAGGGCAGCAGGGTGAATGCTTGTCAGCTGTAGCAGGGTGCTGGCAGGCACAGGGCTGCCAGCTTCCATATGTGCATTTGTGCCACCCTCAACATATTTTTATTTTGACTAGTTTACTTATCTTTTAACACACTTGGAGCCATACTTGGTTACATGTATACTATACACATGCATGTCACACATGTTCATTTGTACGAATACATACATATTAATTACATTCTTCAATTCTTCTAAAACTTTAATGACTTTTTCTTTCTATACTATCAATCACTGAGAGTGAAATCAATATCTGCTACTATGTTTTCTGAACTTCTCATGGTAGTTCTGATCTTTTATACTTTATGTGTTTTGAAGCTGTTATGAGATGCCAACAAATTGAAAATTTCTTCTCTTCTGTGCTCTTCGTAGGAGCCACACCTCAGGAGCTAATAAAGGCTTGTGCTTGAGAAATCACTGAGTAGACAATACTAAAATAAATTGCACACAAATACCACCTGGCTTAGGCAAATCCTACTTATTTCCTGTAACTAACTAAGTGGCAAGTATGAACAAGAGAGGAAAGAAGGTAGAAACCAAGATGTCCAGTCTGTCAGTGCCCTGACTGCCATTCACTCTCAGCTGGCACTATCTGTCACAATCTTTAGTGAAACACAGTCCTCCCTGCCATGTGGTAAATATTTGTTATGCGTTTGACAGTGTTAAACTAACTATGCACTCAGAAAAGAGGCAAGGCTTTGATGCGGTGGTTTGGAGAAGTGTACTTTTATCCTACCTGGAAATCTTCCCATTATATCTGCTCAGTTTCTCAGCCACATTCTGAATAACATCAGCCATTATGTCATTGGTTATACAAGTTGCTTACTACATATACCATTCTTTATCGGTACATTCTAGGTTGTTCAGTATTTTAAAAAACATATTTACAACTTTCAGTGTAGGGAATGTGTTTATCTCTCTGGGGTGAGGCAGGCATAAATGCAAACAACATGTATTTACCAAGAGTGATATACTTATCAGTACTGAGATAAACTTGTGTACAAATTTAACCATTTTGAAAAGAAAACAACTATTCAACTGCTTTGAAAAAACATGTTTGCCAGTTCACTTTAAGGAAATCATGTTTTCATGTAAAGTGTCCATTCCAAGCTAAGGCTTGTTTACCACTTTAAAATACAGCTACACACCCACAGAGTTATCACTCTGCTACAACATTCTTTTTTTTTTTTTGAGCATCTTTCCCAGTGGGCTATGTACACAAAAGCTCTTTCCTTCACATCCATGTCTTCAGGAACCAGCATGAAATCCTGAAATGTAATAAAGCCACTGAATAAGTATTAAAGGAAAGATGATATTTAGACTACATATCACAGGAAAGATTATTTTAGAAACCTTATGATGCCTTTCTTCAAATGTCTAGAGAACATATTTGGAAATAAAGAACAGAGAACTGACTCTATGGTAGAGTTAGAACTAGTAGGGAAAGTTTCAAATAAATGATTTGTTTTTGAGTTAAGTATTTCCAATAACAAGCACAGTTCAAGAACAGGCTGTGCTAGTTCCTAAATTTTGAACTCCTTTTTTCAGTGTAAAAATGAAGACTCGTGGATATTATAAGGTGGAATTCTACTTCAGTAGCAAAACACTATAAGTGACCTTTGGAGCCTGCCTCTTAGGAGCTTTGTGGTCTTTGTACATGGAAGCAATAAAAATGTTTAAAGTTTCAAAGTCAAGGTTTTTTAATAAACAAGATCACTTTTTTCCTTCCTCAAAAGCTTTTTTTGTTATTGTTTTGGAAAGAAAACCTATTACTCTGATATATCAAAAGGCACCACATTAAAATAATATCTCTGTGATTACAGAAGATTTGCTGCCCTTTTTTTCTTTTGCTTTAAAATACAATGTCTTCTAAAGAAGAGCAAGACGTTTTGTAACTAATATACAAGCATGTTAAGTCTAAAAATGTCAAAATAGTGTATATGAGAGCAACATATTCTTAATAAAATTTCAGAGGAAGGAAAACATAACCATGTTCAACAAAAAACATACTAAGAGTCAAACATTAACAGATATTGGTGAGGTTGTGGAGAAAAAGGTATGCTTAAAAGCTGTTGGTGAGAATGTAAATTAGTTCAGTCACTGTAGAAAGTAGTTTGGAGATTTCTGAAAGAACTGAAATTGGGCTACCACTTGAAATTTGGACTACCTCCTCAATCTCACTACTGGGTATATACACAAAGGAAAATAAATCATTCTACCAAAAAGACACATGCACTTATATGTTCATTGCAGTGCTATTCACAATAGCAAAGACATGGATTGAACCCAGGTACCCATCAACGGTGAATTGGATTAATAAAATGTGGTACATATACACCATGAAATACTATGAAGTCATAAAAAAGAACAAAATCATGTTCTTTGCAGCAACATGCATGCAGCGAAAACCAGTATCCTAAGCAAATTAGTGGAGAAACAGAAAACCGAATACCACAAGTTTTCACTTATAAGTAAGAGCAAAACATTGAGCATAGATGAACATAAACATGGGAATAATAGACGCTGGGGAATACAAGAAAGGGAGGAGAGGAGAGAGGGTGTAATGGTTGGAAAAAAAAACTAATTATTTGGTAGCATGTTCACCACCTGGAGGGGCAGATTAAATTGTACTCAAAACTTCAGCACCACACAATATGCCTGCCTAAAAAACCTGCGTATGCACCCTCTGGTTCCAAAACAAAAGTTGAAAAACCAGAAATAGGTAATAAAACAAAAAAAATGAATAGGTATTATGAAAATATAGCAGGGCTTCACAGTTATGATGGTGGTATCAAGAAGAAAGTGATCTGCCTTTCTGCATAGCTAAAAATGACTGCATCCCTAAAGGCCATGATAAATATGTATGGAAGAGGAAAAAGAATGAACTAATAATTAACACTCACTAACTCTGGCATTGATGTATGTTGCATATGAAAATGTTGATCTTCGAAATGTTATCATTTCCCTTAGCAATAAGATATAAATCTTGTCAGCCATCATTTATTTTATGTATAAATGGATATAGGACCCAACATGGAATATTGCTTCAATAATAAATGCTCCATATCTTGTGTGGTTGTCCCACTCCAATGGAGCTGTCAGCCCATGCAACACATAGCCCCTATTCCAATATGAGAAGGAAATTATACTGGAGAGCCAGGCTCATCTAGCACTCACTCAGCAATGTGAATACATTGCTTCCTCATTCTCTGTGCTGCACCTAATATTATATCACTTTGCATTACTGCAGAGCCAGTGTGCAAAAACTGGTATTCTCATTAGATCTGCTTGACATCTCTCAGTCAGAAACTAGCTCCTGAGAATCTTCACATATACAAAGAATCCTATTCCTAAATGGACTGATAATAAAGAAAGGTGGCATAGAAATTGGGAAAATAGAGAAATAGAAAAATATAGTCTGTGGCTCTTAATCACAGACTCCATGCTCAAGTGTCCCCAATGATTAATTAACTTTCTGATCTAAAAATGAGTCAATGGGATTCAGGTAAATGTGGAGAAAAGAGTGAAGACTCTGCATGGATTGAAATGGGAAGCATGTTTATGTTTTCCTCCTTATAGAGACATGGCTAGAAGAACAAATGTCTCCCCCGCAAAGGCTTCCGTGTTTATTTATTGCTTGAATACTTTCTGGCAGGTACTCTGTCCAGCAGGGTGCAGGATTGAGTGAGTCAAAAATCTCTGACATTCAGGAACTCATGCAACACACCCACTCACATCCTCCTCAGTGTTCCAATTGGCTCACACAGCACAGAGCCTTGCCCTGTGGAATCCTGTAGAGGAATCCCTTCTAGTAGAGTATTTAAGGGAAGAGGCTGTTAATACAGCCATCTCCACTGTGGGGAAGGTTTTGGGGAAAGGGAAATTCCAAAAGCAGTACACACAACTCAGAAAATAATCCGACTCCGCATTCTCCCTTTCTCAAGAATGTTGGTAAACATCTCTCTTCTTCTCCATACCTCAAAAGGGCTCCATACCTGGTGGCCTTATGCCCACACAGCAAACTAAGACAAAAAAATGTCATAACATACCTTCAACAACCCCCATACATCTTCTCCTCAGAGACTGTTAATTTCTCCAGCCCTACACACAACATATTCCCAGGAACACAGGAAATGTATTGCCCATTCCTTGCCAACAGCTTGCCAATACTAGTAGTGACCATGCTAGAATATCATTTTGACCTATGAATTATTATTTTGCAGTATAAATTCTTGTCCCCACTCTGGCCTCAGAGTCCCACTTCAAGCCTGTCTGAATTTGATGGCATATTTGAACATGACCTGCCCCAGCTCTAACTTTCTTAGATGCGGCATAATGCTACATACTCATACAGCCATTGGCTCACTTACCACAGCTGGTGGGGGTAAGGGACAAATTGCCCCACTCAAGACTGGAGGAAGCTGTCAGGCTTGGACATTTGCTTTCATCACTGTGAAAATAGATATTTATTATTCCAGTGAACCTGATCCAAGGGTACTCACTCTGAGACAACAGATGACATGGAATCTTTATTCCATTCTGTGGAGAAGGCATCACTGCATCATCACTGCAAAATGCAAATATGGGGCTGAGGTCACATGCCAGTACCCACCAACTGCCTGCCGGAATATCCAAGTTTATTCTGCAGAGCAGACATTTAAGTTATTTGCACACAGGGTGCTATACTTTGCTTTATTCTTATTAAGAAAAGTACCATGTTATGTTAGGTAATCTAGAGGCCCAGTACATGAGGATTATGTGGGTTTTCAATACTCTAGAGAGGTTTGTTACAACTCTTCCTGCAAGGCAAGAATCATACCAATGACTAACTAGCTTTCCTCTACCTGGAAGAAGGCCCATGTAAAGTTCTATGAATAAATGAATGAATGAATGGATGAGTGAATACAGGGAAGACGGTTAGCACCCATTCCAAGGAAGTGTATGTCATTAGAAGACTTCCTATACACTTAAAAAATATTCGGTCTCCAATTCGGCCATAATTTCCCGGTCATGCAATTGCAAATGCATCTTTTCATGCACATTTGCCTTTACTTTGCTTTGCTTAATCTTCCATTCTCTTATTCACAAGGACTCAGGAAGTCTGCATGTCTCAAAGAAATAAGTGCTCCCTGATCTCACTGTAGCCAGTTCTTGGTTCCATTTCACCGAGAAAGTTACAGCCCAAAGAATATGTGGAAACCTTAAGCCTTTTTATTCCAATTCAAGAAAATCATGAATACTCTGATTTGTGGACAAGGTTGGGAGAGACTGAGAAAACTATTAACTCACTATTTCAACTTGTCTTTTCTGGATCTCAGGCCTCTAGGTTCCAAACTACAACTAACCCCGGGACCCATCTAGTGAATATCACACTTGCTGGGCCTCTTGTGTGTACTACTCAAGCCCTCTCCCCAAAGCCTCTCCCAGATGCACAAGGGTATTTGTCCTTAGACCACACTCTTGAGGCCAAGATTAAGAGATGTTCTTACAGCTGGCCTGGGCATCTTAGAACTCTTTCTGAAGAGACCTTATCAGTTATCTCTACTGGGGGGAGTTGGAGATTTGAAACCAGAAGCCAGGAACAATTCAGCAGAAAGCTCACCTGTGAGCACCTCCTGCCACACTCAGCATGCAGGGTTACCTGCTGTCATTCAGAACAAGAGTACTAGCTTGGGGCATTCCAAGAGACGTTCTGGTCCCAGACCTAGGTAAAGAGTCTGGTCCTCTTCAAGGCAATGAAAGAAACCTCTATGTCCATGAAGGAATGATGTGATATGATGTGCTTTCATTACTACCAGAACTGGATGGTGCTGAGGACCACAGTTTGCAAGCCAGTTCTACTTCCCAGCAGCTGTGTGTCTTTGGGAAACTTCTTTAACTACACTATGCTTTTGTTTGCCATTTGTTACATGGGAAGAAGAATAATATCTACCCCTATAGGACTGTTGTGAGGCTTTATGTTCATAAATATCTGGACAATCTTAACCTGCTTCCTGGCACATAGTGTTTATTGTGCATTGTCTGTTATAATAACTTTGCAAATATCTTTGCCAAAACAGTCTTTCTTCTGATAAGACAATTTTTAGAAGGTGAATATTTCTGAGTTTGCTCCCAAATTCTGAGAGGGAGAAATATCTTCTTTTGGATTAACAGTCTCTTACATATGCTGATGTGTGATTTTACTATCCCTGAAAATTATTTTGTACAGAGAAGTGTAATTAGAGCTTTATTTTTGTTTTATACAATTAGTATTCCAGTTGCTAAAGGCACAAAAGGCTAGATATTTATTAATATGTAACATTCAATTTATAAAATATTCTATTTATAAATCTTGCACATTTTAGTAATCACTTCAAATGAGCATTTCAATATTTGATTCCATTTACAAAATTTGTTAGTCACCTTTAAAATCTTTTTATACTTAATTTCATGTTTAGTTTCTAGCTTATGTATTTGAATTTTGTAGCCAAAAATATTCTTCTCAAGAGCTTAAATGTTTTAAATTTAATAAATTTAACTTATAGTTTTTATTTTATATGGTTTATACTTTATGTTTACTTAAATGTATCTTATACTCAAAGTTTAATTATATAACTCAGTACTATACATTAATAATTAGCTTACAACTCACAGATCTAAACTGATTATTCAATACATATTTTAAAATTGTATTTGATAGGGTTTCTAAATTCTTTTAAACATCACGATTTTATAAAATGCTAACTAACATCCAGTTCTTTCTGATCTGAAGAGATCTTAACTGATTTTGATTCTTTTAAATTCATCTATTCTTAATTGTATATGTTTTCATTTTTAAAAGAGAAGGATCCAGTTACAAAAGTAACAACAATCTAGTTAATTGCATTTAATTAAAAGTAAAAAATTGTGACTAGACCATTTTATGTAACTCTGATGGGACATGCTGACTTCTATTTATATTTCTATTCCAGTGACTAAGGAGGTGGAACATAGCCCCAGATTTCAGTCACCTACCCACAGCAGGGCGCACCTGCCACTCATGTTATGATTGGTTGAATTTTACATTTCTTTAGCTCTTACGAAGTAGAAATGTTTTTCATCCTGAGTCTAAAGATTTTTGAACACAGTGAAACCTATCATTCTTCTATATTCTCAGGGCTACATGATATCTGATTGAATTTTGGATAGCCCATGACTGTCCTCTCACAGTCACTATATATAAGTTTATTCTATTGACAACATCTTAACAGTGATGACATAAGGGAGAGGACACATTAGTGACACTGAGGACTAATTTTCTTAAAAGTCAGTAAAGATTCTAGTGTATACTATCTTTACAATGGCTCAAGCTTTAATGTTACACAAATGGTTAATTTTTTTTTTCCAAGAGGTAAAACAGCATCCCTCCCAGGATATATTAAAGTAGGGAACAGTGAACAGACGTAATCCTTCCTTTAAGGAGAGCTTTGCTACAGAAACAAGGCAAAGGATATCAGCACTTAAAAGCAGGAAACAGGAAAGTCTCTCTTCCCTGCCCACTGATTTGCATTTCAACATCTGCCCCTCAGGTGGACAGCTGAGGGAAGTAAAACAACGTATTCCCAGGGATAAAAAGCATTTGAATAGGAAATGGATTCCAGCTCCTGGCATTGAAATCAATTTCTCCTTTGTTCTAATTTCTCCATCTAGGATAAGCATGATTTTATGATTTTAGTGGAGAAAAACAAACTGTGAAATATTTTAAAGAGGTTTATTGTGAGCCAATAGGAGTCACTGTGGCCCAGGGATACACAGCCTCAAGAGGTCCTAAAAAGATGTGCCCAATGCAGTCAGGTTACAGTTTGGATTTATACATTTCAGGCAGACAAACTTGCAGGTAAAATCATAAATCAATACATGGAAGGCATACATTTGTTCAGCCCAAGAAGGTGGAACATGTTCAAGTGAGAGCTTGCAAGTCATAGGTAGGCTTTAGGGATTCTTTACTTGACAATTGCTTGAAAGAGTTAGGCTTTGTCTAAAACACGTGAAGTCAGTGGAAACGAATGCTTGAGTTAAGATAAGGGTGTCTGCTACCTGTCATGCAATGCCATACCTGAGTCAGGGTGGAAAGTAAGCCACATTATACTGGGTTATAAAAAACAAAACAAAACAAAAACGAACAGGATTTTATGGTTTGGAGGGCATGACTTAACCCTTGCCTTGCATGATCTTAGGTCTTGTTTATAATTTGGTATCTTATTGCCAGAAAGAGTCTGTTTTGTCAGCCTTATCATCTCTATGTTAACACTAATGCTGCTCGATTGAGCCTAAACTCCAGAGAGAGGGAGTTTAATGAGGCGCATTCAACCTCCCTTCTTGTCACGGCCAAAAAGTCAGATTTTCAGGTTTCTCTAGGGTCCCCTTGACCAAGAGGGGGGTCTGTTCTGTCTGTTGAGGGGTTTAGGAATTTATTTTTAGTTTACAATGTGGTTTGTTTCTAAGAACTCTTTCATTTTTATTTGCTTATGACAATAAAGTTACGGTTCAATAAAATCTAATCTAATTTTATTGTTTGAAGAGAAAATGACTGTGGTACATGTTTGTGTTTCAAAATGAATATCTATAAATTCTACAGTATAACTACAGTGAACAGGCTGTTATAGAAACTGACTAATCATGAGATTTTTAATTTAAAAAAAACCTGTTGCTTTGATTGACTGTTTAGGTCAGTTCTCCAGCACTAGACCTCCTATGCTCATTAAGGGAACTATTAATACATACAATTTTCACTCTCTCACTTATAATTTATCTCCCTGAGAATTTCTTTAATGAGCTTTGTTGTACATTTGGGAGTCTGTTTTTGTTTTTTTGTTTGTTTATTTGTTTTTTCCAATTGCCTAGACGATTCTGCTGTACACATAGTTTAGGGCACAATTAGCACCAACGATACCATTGACAAGCAGATATGGTGAATATAAGAAATGAAGAAAATATTGAGAGTGAAGGGGCCCAGAATATGCCACAGTGGCATAAAGATTATGTTAAGCTGACGATATTTGAGAATCAACAGCTGTAGGAAGAGGCTTTTTCTGAAGTCCCCTTATCTCCCTAAAAGCAAAGCCTCCACAAATAATTCAACTGTCACAAATCCCCTCCCTGGGGATTTCACAGCCAGGAAAGACTCAGTACCCTTTTATCAACAAAGAGAAGTCCACACCTAAGTCAGCATTCAGATAAGAAATCACCTAAACTGACATTGTCATAAAATTATCATATTTCTAATCTAATCTTCTAAGGGCCCATTTATTTTTCCCAAAAGCCATTTTTTTTTCTCCCAGAAGTGCCACTCTGCCCCTCCACAATCCTTACTTAAATGGTGTATGCCCCATATTCTAACCACCTCCTCAGAATCACATTTCTTTGTGAACTCCCATGCACACATATGTAATTAAATATCTTTTTTTGTTCTCTTGTTAATCAGTCTTCTGAAAGTTTAATTTGCAAGCCCCCAAACTGAAATAAGAAGGTAGACGAAAAGTTTCTCCTCCTAGAAAAAGTGTCAAACGTGACCAAGTATAACAGGCTATAGAAGAGACCTAAGGCTAGGAGAGCTACTCTAACTTGTCAAAAGTCATTTAGACTTACGGTCTATAAATTTTCCTCTCTATATCATAAAATAACATTGAAAAAATGACATACTCATTATATATTTTTTAGAAATTTAATTTTTTTAAAAAATTAAATCTTCATGCCTTTAAAAACTTGCAAAAATGCAATGACTGGCATATTAGAATTGCCAATATTGAAAATAAAATAATCACATATATCATTTAAATATAACAAATGGAACTTAAATTCCATAGTATATGACTACCCACACATCACCCGTCTAAAATTTATTTGAAAAAGTTATTTTTCTATGCAATGAATTTAAATCTTTTGTTTTTGTTTTTATTCTACACAACTTTTTTATTCTACATCTACCACATTTCAATGTAATATATTTTGGTCCTGAAAGTTTATTTTATGTTATCATCCTTTTATCTGAAAAATTACATATATAAATAGAAATTTCAATTTTTAAAGACCTTGAGGCACTAAATAATAAGCAAATCTTCTGGATTGATATATATTTTCAATTATTACAGGCTCACAATTGTTGAAACAATGTAAATATATTCAAAATAGGTTTTAAAAGTAAAATTACTTTGTAAATATATTCCTCAGTGAGATGTATAAAGATATTTTCAACTCAATCAGTTCAGATTAATTAAAAATTTTTTACATATATAAACAAATGGGAATAGAAGGGGATTTTTTGTAGCAATAATATTTAATTATTTGAACTCATTCTTAAAATGTTACATTGTTAAATATTATCAAAACTTTCAGCTGTCAATTTAATAAGGTCTCACTTAGTTTTGTTGAAAATAAAAAATGGAGACAAATTACATTCTATCGTAAAAGGATCAGCGGCCCACAATTAGTGTCTTCCAATTTCTCAATTTCTGGGCAGTACCAAAGAGACTTTAATACAAAATTATCACATGACTACTAATATTTATGTTATTCTATTACTTAGAAGCATATTGATTAACATGATATAACATTAAACTATCACTAAATACAATACAAATTTTTAAAAAAGTTTTTCACGGTTAAAAACATTTATGTGCGTGCTTTAAGACCATCAGGAAAGATGTGTCATTGCACATTGTAATTGCTTATTGTACCCAACGAGACCTCACATCATTGGGATCTGCAGATGTTACAATGGTAGTGTGTTATATATCTAATAAGTTTTGTAGAATACAAAATCAGCTAAAAATAAATTATATTTCTATATACTGTCAATGAATGTTTGGCATTCAAAATTAAGAAAAAATTCAACTATTATAGCACAAAAAAGATTTAGGTATAAATGTAACGAAATACGTGCACTATCTATATACTGAAAAATCTCAAAATTCTACTGAAAGAAATCAAAGAAGATGAATTGGTAGAGACAATTTTCATGGACATTCAATTTTTTAAGATGTACCAACCTCCCAAATTTTTACTACAGGTTCAAAAAAATTTCAATCAATATCTAAGTGAATTTTTTATAGGTAGTAATAAGCTGATTCTAAAATCTCTATGGAAAAGCAAAGTGACTACAATAGCCAAAACAATTTTGGAAAAGAACAAAGTTGAAGAACTCACACTACTTGATTCCTGAATTCATTATAAAAGTATAATAACCACTGGACATGGTGGCTCACACCTGTAATCCCAACACTTTGGGAGGCCAAGGCAGGTAGATCACCTGAGGTCAGGAGTTCGAGACCAGCCTGGCCGAAATGGTGAATCCCCATGTCTACTAAAAATACAAAAAAATTAGCCGAGCATAGTGGTGCAAGCCTGTAGTCCCTGCTACTCGGGAGGCTGAGGCAGGAGAATCCCTTGAACCCAGGAGGCAGAGGTTGCAGTGAGCTGAGATCCCGCCATTGCCTTCCAGCCTGGGTGACAAGAGTAAAACTCAATCTTAAAAAAAAAAAAGTATAATAACCAGGAAAATGTACTGTTATAAGCTGAATTTCCAGAACATCCGTGGAAGCAGCCTCTGCCTCCATGACTTAAAGCCTGAGGTTTGCCTTTCTGAAAAAGACATCAGAAAAAGTCTGTCCTAAAGCTCAGTGGAAAAGGTCTTATTCCGTACTATCAGCAAATGACACAGCAGTGAATCTCCTGTTGATCCTTGGATTCATATTTCTCTTCGTCAAAGACTGACACCAATGTCTCTTGACCACTTTATGGATATCCACTAGATATCCATCAATCAGGAGCCCTGAACTGAGTGTTCCTAGGAATTACCCACACTACACTTATAAAAGTATTCAGCTTGTACTTGTTAGTAATGAAGCTGGAGATGTCACAGGACTCCCAAGCTTCTTGTGAGGTAGAAAGTAGGATTTGGGGCTTTGGAAGTAGCAGAGAGGAAAAACATTTTCTGTACTCTCTTACATTCAGCTTTTAGGCCTGCAAATTAAACCAACAAAAGACAGATTAGCAAGAGAAAAAAAAGCCGATTTTAATCACATATACATGTAAGGGAGTTCACAGAGAAATGTGAATCAAAGGAGCAGCTAGAACTTAGGGCTTATATGTCACCTTAATAGGTGAAGGTGAGGAGAGTAAGGTCAGGTAGAGGAGGACACACGTAGGAAAACAAATAACTTTTAGCCAGGATAGATGGGCCTTTAGGCAAATACATGAAAGATATGATAGTTTTGTGACGGTGTCTGTTTAGGTGTAGTGGCTGCATCTCGTTGTCTCCTGGAATAGGAGTCAGTCTTCTCTGGTTGCTCCTAGGGAGGGGATTTATAACAGTTGAATTACTGTGAGTTCCTATTGGAGGTTCTGCTTTTGGGTAGATGAGAGATTTTATGACCTTAAACATCTTCAGCCCAAGAAAAATTTTGTCCCACAGTGGCTTATTCTGGAGCCCTTCGGAAGTTTGAGATGTTTACGGACTTCAGTGAGTTTAGTCACTTAGTTCTTCTCTTATTCATGTTTATTACCATATGTTTATTGCTTACTTATGTTATGCCGTTTATTTTACTGATGTTTATGGATAGTAATGAGACTAGAAATTGGGAGTAAGAAAAGTAAAGCTTTCAGGGCTCTTTGATACAGTTCCATTAAAATGTATGCCCCACTACTGGGGAAGAAATTTGGGATTCAGCATGTTAGAAAAATGAAATACAGCATTTGTTATTTTTTTAATGTTTGTGATTTTAAACCTCAGTCTACTCAAAGAACAAATTACAATATCAAGAATGTCACCCTAACCCACTTGGGGTTGATTATAACGGGCTTTGGATTGTTGTCTGTGTTGAGTTTATTCTCTTGCCAGGGTGGTGCCACTGGCAGATGGGCAGGCATGGGAACCGCCTCTGCAATACTCTTAAAGTTACTCTGTCACTGTTGGTTTAATGACATGCTCACATTTTATTATTATTTATTATTATGGGTAATACAAGGAAGGACTTTTACTAAACTCTACCTTTATTGTGGTTATCTCCTTATGTGGTAGTAAAGCCTCTCAAGATCATAATAATTTATGGCTCATTTCATATCGGTTCCAGAAGTAGTCAGGAAATCTTTGTTTCCAAGTAATTTCAGATTCAAATTGCTCTTTGAAATAATACAATGTCACATACCTTCTATCCATACATTTGCTCTTTTATCTTTTGTCAGTGAGAAGGTCTGGGCAAAGATAATTAATTTAACTACCTGAACTGCTTTACTTCTTATGAAAAGTTTTTATTTCAAGGATAAAGTTATGTCTGTAATAGCATAGCCTGTTTGGCAAGCTTTAGTTTAAAAAATGTGAACTATCAATACACAGAAATCAGGATTATCCAAAAGAATCATATCTGGAAGATTCTTGTAGGACAGGATAGTTCCCTATCAAAGGTTGTTATCCTAGGATTCTCCTTGTTCAGGTAAAGAATACAAAATGGTTAGGTTTAAGGTGTTGTAGCAAGGTATAATTATGTATAAAGAGACAAATAGGATTATCCTTGTTCAGGTAAAGAATACAAAATGGTTAGGTTTAAGGTGTTGTAGCAAGGTATAATTATGTATAAAGAGACAAATAGGATTATCCTTGTTCAGGTAAAGAATACAAAATGGTTAGGTTTAAGGTGTTGTAGCAAGGTATAATTATGTATAAAGAGACAAAGAAAAACAACAGAACTTGACAGAAAGGGAATGGCTGGAAAATATTGAAGGCTTCATGTCAAGAGAAGAGTCTATGGTGTATGAAGACTCACTAATGTTAGAGAAGATTTTAGGACTAAAACGAAGTTTTCACACATTTCACTCTTGCTGCTGCAGCTCTTAGGCAAAGTGACTCTGTCTTGGCTACTGGATCTCAGGGGAATCTGAAACAAGCAATTGCTCCAAGCAATTGCTCGAGTCAATACCCCAGTACCTGTCCAAAACTTTCAAGAACAGAAAGTAAAAGGAGTTTATGGAACTGAAATCCTTAAAACAAACCTTTTTGCTGACAGTTACTATTCCAGTCTCTGTGCAAATTGTAGACAGGCTTCCAAAATGCCCCACAAAGTTCCTGACCCCTGGTGTGCACACCTAACTAATTCCTGCCTTTGAGTGTGGGTGGGCCTGACCTAATCAGTCAAACCCTTTTAAAAGAGGATCTGGAGGCCAGAAGGGGAAGAAATCAGAGAAAGTAGGAGAGGGCCTACAGACAGATTTATGTGGCAAGAACCTAAGACTGACCTTGAGGTCCCCAACTGATAGCTATCAAAACAACACTTCATATTTGTTTACTCTATTGCCATTTAAAAAAGGGGGTCAATTAAAATTATGTTTGGAAACCAATGTTTTGCATCTTTTTCTTATTTATAAAATGTGCAGCCATTCAAAGATTATTTGTGTATTAACTTAATCATTTGCCTAAGAGCTGAAAGTTAGGTAAGGATCTGGAAATCACAATTTTAGCTATTACATTTTTATGACTTTTAACATTGTAAGAATAGTATATTAATCTCTTTACAAATGCATCCATTATTATCCCATGCAGCTGAACACAATTTTGTGTATATAATTTTTAATTTTAAACAAATTATAGAAAAATGATGATTTATCTCACAAAACCAATGTAGGAATTTTAAACAGCTCAAATCAGCAAAAAAACTTAATGACAGTTGTATTCAAACCCAAACACTGTGTGATGTTACTTTTGGTTTTTGTATGGTAAAGACTTTGAATGTTTAAAAACTTTGAATTATGCCTGGAATTTAGCTTTTATCTTGGAATTAAAGCCAGGTTTTTACACTTGTAGTTATAGTAACAAAGACTACTTTGTAAATGCACTTTTTAGGATCCACAAAAAGAAATAAAGTTTAATAACATTTTTTCCTTCTTTTAGATAAATTTTGCTATTTGTCTGGACAAGATATTCACAGTGTATACACATATAAAGTAAATTATTTGCTTTTTCATCAGTCAACTTTTAAACTTTCCCAAGAGGAGTAAGAAGAAAGGAAGAGTAATATAAAATAAAGTAAAAGGAGGAGGCAAATATGAAATTATCATTGTAGAAGCCTAATTATGCCCCTGGGAAGAATATTTAAATACAGAAAAAATAATGTTCTTATGTAGGCATACACACAAGTGACGGACATGTGGCTGATTTTCACCTAATTTGGGCTTTGACAATTTTATCAAACCATACAATTTAAAAATCAGCACTATTCATCCTCAAAGTACAGAAAGGCAGGAGGGAAAGGTGCCTATATTAAACAAAATGATGTTTCTTTTAAACAAACAAACTTCTCATGAAATTCTTCTATTTTTTTTTCTAAAGTACTTTTCAAATGCTCAAACTTGTTTATGCTCAAAGGTCCCCAAAACACCCCCTGCAATTTGAAATGGTCTCTGGTGAAATTGGGCCAGTGACAGAGAAGCACACATGTGAGCATGACATTAAGAAAATGTGCTGTAGTCCCAGCTACTCAGAAGGCTGAGGCAGGAGAATGGCTTGAACCCCGGAGGCAGAGCTTGCAGTGAGCCAAGATGGCATCACTGCACTCCAGCCTCGGGGACAGAGCGAGGCTCTGTCTCAAAATAAATAAATAAATAAATAAATAAACAAACAAACAAATAAATGAATGAATGAATGAAAATGTGAAGAAGACAGGCGTTGGCTTGGGAGAGACTCAGTTTTAGATGGAGCAGACCAAAAAGAATTGAACAGACTGTAAGGCTAGATCCTGTGTCATTTTGTGTGGTCATAACTTGGCCAAAAGCAGATCATCAAAGACAAGGGGCAGGAGCAAGCCAATGATTTCAGGTGGATGAAGCTGCACAATGCAGCTTTCAGAGAGACAAGGCTGAGGAAGGTGCACTTGTATGAGTGGTGACCTGAGACAGGTTTTCAAGGGACACCAGTTAAGGAGACCTTCTGAACTCCTAGCCCAGGAGACCTGTTTGATGGCAAACTTAGCAGACCTGTGCCCGCTTTCTCTTGCAGAGTTTCTCTAATAGACAAACACTCAACACACTAGAAAAGCAGACACATAAGGGGCAGGAAACAAAGACTATGCTCAGATTGAATGTGTTAATAAATCTTGTCTATAAAGATAAAGGATCATATGGTTGTGATTGATAAGCAGGCAGCTGTCACTCATATTAGCCAGGAAAGGGGAGGGTTAGTCGTTTTTGTGTTTTGACAGTGTTTATGTTTTCCAGTGAAACTAGAACTGAAGTCTCGTGCTTAGAGTTTGAAATTCAGGTTACTTTGCTTTTCCCTGTACCCAACTGTTTATGACATTGCCTATGAATCATGGCATTATTTTGTAAAATGCACTTGTGGATGCCTTTATTCCTTGAGTCATTTAAGCTTGGATGCCAGTTTTCTAATTTGGAAACAGTGACAATCATGTGTGTTAGTAGAGGTGTGGGAGATGGAGACGGGATGCCCGAGGTGATGTCCAGCAGACGCAGGGTCAGCAGGTCTCTGGGGATCAGCCCCTGGAGAGTGTGACAAAGTGCATGCAACAGAGACCCTCCAGAGCCCAAAGCTTCTCAGAAGATAATTGTTTTATTAAATAAAGAATTATTAACTTTTTTGTTAAAAAGGGAAATATCTGTTAAAAGCTAAAACTGTGTGATCAAATTGCAATAATGTTTTGAAAAGAGGATCAGTCTAAATAGATTTTTATTTAAAGACCTATCTTCTAGAGATGTGAGTGCTTTTTCTCAGATGTGAAGTCTATCTACCTGTGATATGTCAGGTCTTCCTTTCAAAATGTCTGATGTAATTGCCTTTTTTGTCCTTCTCATCTTTCCTTGAACTCTGTGAAAAACCATTTATAACTGTTTCTACCTAAATTCCACAAATATATTTGAATGGAGAATATGTGTTCTATACTGGAAATAATGATTCATTTGACACTTTATTTCTGATGAGTTAACATGATAACTATATATTAAAAAAGAAAACCCCACCTTTTGTTATTATGAGGTTATGCTGTATATAATCTAAATCACATTTAACCAGTATTTGGTGTGCGGTTAATTTTATAACTAGAAGACATAGTGGACACTGGCATGTATTCTTCTTCATTAGGATTATTTTTAAATGAACATTTAAAATTCTGAAAAAAATGCCATCAATACTAAAGACAGCACTGGGATTTTACATTCTACCAAGAAATTTCTTAGCTAGTAATATTAGCCTTTCTTTGAGGGAATATGAAAGTATGTTGCAGTAACAAATTAGTTCAGAAACCTCAGTGACACCATACCACAGGTTTATTTCTTGCTCATACTATATATTCAGTGCATTTTGGTGGAGGATGCTCTTCTATCTCATTGCTCAGGGACTGAGCTGCATGAAGATTCTTCAATTTTTTCATGTCAGTGCTTCAACATGCAGTTCTGTACTTGCTGCAGCAAAGGAAAAAGAGACAGTATTTTTTTTTAAAATAATCTTTGCTTATAATTACCTTCAAATGTAAATAACACAGGTCTCTTTAACTCATGGGGTTTCTAGCAGAACCAGAAACTTCTCTTCCAACCCCACACTATCTAGCCAGGGGACTGGGAGGTCTTCCTGTGTTCCCAGGAAGAGAGGAACATGGACTATGGTGAGCACCTGTCACCCCACCAGATAATTAAATAGTAGTAAGCTGGGTGGTATGTGGAGGAAATACCTAGGAACTACTGCAGAATCCATGTCATTCATTGTTTAATTAGGAAACAACAGTATTTTATTTCACTGTCTATAAAACACTTTATTCAGAGAGTATCTTGAAGGATCAGTATGATCTCCTTTGTTATATTTTTTATTTCTGCTGCTCTGAAAAGCAAAATTTCATAAATAGCCTTCATACTTGCTCCCAGCCCCGTGGAATTGTGTCCCTTTTAGACATCTTTCTCTGGTCTCTGCAGCCTTGGCCACCTCTGCCGCCTTTCGGGACTTTTTACTTTGTCATAAATTACTGCTCTTGTTCCTGCCCACTGGTTTCAATCTCAGGTCACAATAATAACACCCGAAGAGCTTTGTTAACACACTAGTGCTAAGGCCGCCACCAAGAGATTCTAATGTAATGGGTCGTGGTAATACAGGAGGCATGGGTTAAAATCTACATTGATTCTTAGAAAGCACTGGTCCCTCTTGGGACCTGCATTTCTGGATCTATTGGGGTTGACATTGTCATAACATATTTGATATCTGTGTGTAATCAGTTACAAAGTCTTTTCAACTGGATGGACAAGGGATTTTAGCACCATGCTTATTTTACCTTAAACCATGAAATACATTTATTTTATGCGGTACATTCATGCTTACTGTAGAAAAAAAGACAACCACAACAAAACACACCCACAATCCCCCACTCAAAGGCCAAAACAAATGAGATCTGATGCTTTCTCTCCAGTAATTTTTTTTTTTGACATGGGGTCTCACTCTGTCACCCAGGCTGGAGTGGCAGTGGGGTAATCACAACTTACTGCAGCCTTGACATCCTGGGCTCAATCAGTCCTCCCACCTCAGCCTCCCAAGTAGCTGGGACTACAAATGCAGCACCACACCCAGCTAATTTTTGTTTTTTATTTTTTGTAGAGACAGGGTCTCCTTATATTGCCCAGGCTCAATATTTTAATTATGCATTAATTTATTCATGCAAGTTAGAAAACAGTGCACATACAATTTGTATATGTTTCCAATTGATATTATAGCTTTCATTTTTCCAGGTCATTTGCTCCTCTTTTTAAACATTATTTCCATTGGATTTGTAATAGTCAAATAATGCTTATTAATTTTAAGTTAATTCATTATGCAAAGGGGGATTTATTAAGTACATATTTAAGTAATACTGTTATTTTCTTGTTTTTGAAAAAAATAATTTTAGAGATAAGGTCTTTCTCTGTGACTCAGACTGGAGTACAGTAGGGCAATTATAGCTCACTGAAGCCTCAAACTCCTGGTCCCAAGCAATCCTCCTGCCTCATCCTCCTGAGTAGTTTGCATTTTTACTATTTCTTTAGGAGAGAATCTCGGCTAAGGAAATTAGGGAATAGAGTTAAATAATTTTAAAACATTTTTTGAAATACACTGCAAAATTTCTATTCTTAAAGCTCTTACTAAATTCTAGCCCACATGCAAAAACAATATAAATGAATATGTATTTACATTATTATAACTTTCCTCTTATTCACCTGCCAAGCTATGAGTCCAAGTAAATACATATCAGGTGATTTATATTTGTTTGTTTTTGATGATTAGAGTGCCTAAATTTATTTTCAGGTGTTAATTGGTCAAGAATATTTTATCTTTGTATACTTACATTTGTTTTGTTCACATTTCTTCTGTGGATTTGAGAATAAAGAACAATAAAAAGACAAAGCAGAGGCTCATACCATGGTTTAAGAGGTGGCCTTTAGCCTTAGAAACTTCAGGGTAATATTTCCAGGCACAAGCTCACATAAAGGCCAGGGCTTACCTCAGCAGCTCAATAAAATTAATGGTAAAATTAATCTTTGGTACACAGCCCAGCTGTATATTCTAGCTTAATTATATCCTATTTATGAAATTTTTTTGTTGGTGGTGGTTGGTTTTGTTTGACATGTTATTTAAGCTTTTTAAATTTCCACTTTTTATTTTGTTAATAGGGCTGATTCTATAGATAATACATAAGACCCAATCCTGCAGAATCTAGCAAATAATGCATCTTCATACATACAGGTTTTATTACTCTCTACTGTGAACCAAGACAATTAAAATCCCAGGCTCACACACTTACCTAGACAAGTTGATAAACTTCAGGATTTTTTAAAATATAAAAATTGAGATAACGGTCACTTTGAACAGCCCTGGTAAGGCCCAATCAAATACCATTTATAACACCCCATAATAATGACTGCCGCAGTGAGTTATTCACAAAGACCCCAGGGACCCTCGGTCCCCTCTTCCTCCTTGATCTATTTATCCTCAACTTTCAGTTTTACAGAGCTGACGTTTTCTCTCACACAGAAGTCAGATACACCTCTCAGATAATAATCTGCACCAAACTGAAACTAGGAGGACACACACACACAGACACACAGACACACAGACACACACACACACACACACACACACACACACACGACAAAAGACTCTAACTTTTAGGATGCCTCTAGTCTCCTAAAAATAGTTCAGCCTCCTTGATGTTAAGAAGGAAGCGGTCGAAAATTGTTCACAGGTGGCTCCACCGTGTCCTAGGCTAGAGGTGGTTTCGGGGAAGGGAAAAAGGAAGAGGGCAAAGCATGAGTCTGGATGAAACTGCTCATCGGGATTTCTGTGCCAAACATGATTGGATGTCGGAATAATGACAGTGATTTTCCAGAAATGAATCTTTCCTCCACTGGAGATTATAAGTACTGATTACAGCTGAAGGTCTGTGGGACCCATTCCAGCAAAAAGAGATGACAATAATCCTGAGAAGGACTGATAGCAGAGAATTTTGTAGTAAAAAATTTGCGGTGAAGAGAGGTACCATTTGCCTTTTCATTTTAAAGGATTTTACTCCTCTTTTGAGTGAAATAGCTAAAAGAAGATACAGGCTAAAGGACAAAGAGCAGTGCTGTTTCCATTCTTATGATATTTCTTCTCAGTATACAATGTGGCAATATATTACCTTTCGTAAGCATCCTCTGGTGACTTAAGAATGATAGGTATGTCTCAGAAGTTCAAAAGAAAGCATACTTCTAATTTTCAGTTTCAGCAGATAGAAATAACACAAATTACTTTGACAGTAGAATAATAAAATCAGATATAAAATGATGTATTATAACCATTGAAATAATAGAATTTCCTTCCATAAGGTACCTTGAATTCGTGTAGACCAACCTATTATGTGGCACAAGTTTTGGGACACAACCCAGGTGTGCATTCCAGATTCATTACATCTTGATTAGTAGATGTTTTCGTTGTTGGTTTATTGACAAGATAAGTAAAATGTGGCCCAGAGAATCAAAATGAGTTCTCCAAGTTTGTGTTAACTTAACTGAGTGACTTTCCTTCTTCCTACTCTTCTAATCCCATGTATCACAGAACTCCAATATCCTATGGTAACATAATTTAGGATATATGTTTCATTGGCCAACAGAATCTTTAAAAGTTGTGAAGAGGATATAAGCTGCCTTTTTTTTTTTTTTTTTTTGTATCTCCGACTATAATCTTGATATCAGGATATGGGGACTGCCATTGTTCACCACAAAAGCACTTCCCACAATATGGAGCTTGTGACCGCAGGTGGAATGTGGATTCCAGCCCCTTTGCACATTCCTGCCTTGTAGGTCTGATACTCAAGACAGGCAGTGGCTGCCACCTCTCTTTTCCCTTTTAAACTTCTGGTGAGTATATCTCATTGGCACAATCTGTATTGCATGTAGAATTCTACCTGCAAGGGATTTGGGGATAAAAGTTTTTTTCTTTCCAAAAACTTTCATGCACAAAGAAAAAATTGGACTGAATACTGAATGCAGTAAACATTATCTGGCACAGTCTGTAAATGGAATTGTAAACTCCTTCAAGATTTTGAATTTTTTCCACTTTCACTTTTTTTTTTGAGACGGAGTCTCGCTCTGTCACCCAGGCTGGAGTGCAGTGACGCTATCTTGGCTTACTGCAACCTCTGCCTCCTGAGTTCAAGCGATTCTTCTGTCTCAGGATCCCAAGGAGCTGGTATTACAGGCACTGCCACCATGCCTGGCTAATTTTTGTATTTTTAGTAGAGATGGGGTTTCTCCGTGTTGGCCAGGCTGGTCTCAAACTTTTGACCTCTGGTGATCCAGCCGCCTCGGCCTCCCAAACTGCTAGGAATACAGGCGTAAGCCACTGCGCCTGGCCCCACTCTCACTTTTGATTCACCTTTTAGGTGACTATAGAGACCAGAATGACCTTTATTTTCTCAGTCCTCAGCACTGAGAAAATATAATTATAATGTTCTCTGGTGTTATTTTCCTTTAGAAAGAGTGCATTTGGTTTTGTTGGCTGTAGTGTACCGTCTACAGAAGCCTTAATCCAATTCAGCCAGAGCCTGAAAATGTATATTTTAGCTATGGGTATCCCCAGCAGCTACCCCTCTACGAATGCATTTTTTACGGAAACTCCAACCCGCTTTAAGATGGGGGATATTGTTAAGATTTTTATTGTCATAGTGGTCACTGGCTCTCTATCATGTTTCTTCATTTTTACTAATCCTGTTTAGCATTTATTGTATTACTTCAAACTTAAGATTCACAGTTTTTCAGTCATGTAAAACCAGCCACTTCCTCTTTGAACATTAGCTATCCTCTGTGCATTTTCTCTTTCTCTAGAACTCTTATTTTATGTATATTTAACAATCTCGTTAGGTTCCATGTATTACTTAAAGCTAATATCTCATCTTCTGACTCATTGTGGTATTAAAACTCATGTGCTAGCCTGTAAGCTGATTACCTTTAGGGATGACAGGTGTTTTCTGCCCCACAGGCATTCAATTATTGCTTAGAATTGAATGAATATTCATTTATTTTAATAGTGCTGATATTATGTAGTGTAAGGAATTGCTAGATGCTGAAGTGGGAAGAGATCCAGTTTACCTAGATCTCCTTGTTACAGGAAATGGAAGTGTTGTTAGCCACTGTTCTGTTTGTTTAAATATGTCCCTCTTACATTATCTTCAAGTTGGTCCTATACTGATTCCTCATTGTTGGATGAAGTTTTTTTTTAAATAATTTTTTTTAAAAAGTATACTAGAGCAGATAGAAGAAAGTGAGTTTATTCACAGGTATCTTAGATGTCTCTTCTATACATTTTCTGCTTCCTCTAAGCAGTTTCTCTCTGATAATAGTTATGTCTGTGTTCTAGGTAAGTTGAACGTGCAAGTGGCCAGCAGCAAGGCCATGAAGTTGTTCCCCTTTCATGCAGTGATTTAACACATTTGTCTTTCCCCAGCTGACTAGTTTTATTAGCTATGGAGCTGATTGCCACCCACATTTTTCTCCCTCACTTTCCCATACTGGCAGCCCGACAGCTTGCTTTTCTCCCAGAGGTATGACTACGAAATTCTTCATTTGGATTATACTTTCCTGAGGCCACATCAAAGAAGGCTGAACCATCCCCAGCAATGCCCAAACACAGTCCAACTTGCTTTTCCAACAAGATATGGAGGTTTTGCAATTTACTTTTATAGGCTGTGTACAGAGCTCTCATCCATCCTCAGTTTTCTCACTCCCAAAACCAGACCCAACTGTCATAGCCTTTGCCAGCCTCATGTCATCTTTGGCTCAGGAATACATTTTTTCCCCTAATTTTATGCTTTTATGGCTTTCTTATTACTGTCAGTTTATAACGCAAAAAAATAAGTACATTATTTTCTAAATTTTAACACAAACATCACTTTTATTGGTTTGGGAGTTTTTCCTCAAGCTCAGTCTTCCAGCTAATGTTTAGGCATGGCTAGATGAAAAATAATTCAGAAAGAAAATTGCATCTCCTTTGAGTTAAGTGGCTGAGCTTGGCCTCATCTAAACAAAAGAACTACCTTTGCTTTATAGTGGTCAAATTCATTCAGGCAAAGCTTGTGAAAATACTTAAAGTTATTTCACCTGATAAACATTTAATGTCCTCTTGTGAGTTCATGATAGGAGTAGGCATCTATTTGAGAACCTGCAGCTTCATGATTTTAGCCATTTTCATATCTCTCTGTCACAGATATGACTAATGGTTGGCAGATTTCAGCAGCTGCATAAAATACATAAAATATGGAATCTGGGTTTGGGAATCAGTTCCTGGAGAAACTCAAGCTGTAGGAATAGTGAACTATTCTGACGAGCAATCCTTAGTGAAGAACAAAGGTGTCATCAATTCTAGTGGATATAATCTGGCTTTGGTGGGTAGACAAGGGCTTTCCAGTCCTGAGCCAGCAATCCAGAAACTCACACTCCAGATGGAATTGCACTTCTTGCTGGCAACACCTGTTACAGAGGACGATGTTTTGCAGTGAAACAACCAGTTGTTTGGAGATTTCTATTTGGGATATCGTCCTGATATCTCTTTGAGATGCTGCTTTTAGAACTGCACACAGCATGATCCAGCCTCCCATTTAAGGGCCAGAGCAACCATGACAGCAGGATAAAGCAAATGGGCTGGAGTCCTAAGGGGAGGAGTGCCACAGAGGTGGTCTGACAGCCTTTCAGTCTGGGACAGAACAGTCCTTCCTTCCTCTCTGTGAGCAGTCCAGTCCTGGGCTCTAGCAGTGGTGATCGAATACGTCCTGCTGATCTGAGTGTGTCACACACACACTCACACCACTATACCCACAGAGCTGCTGGGGACCTAAGGAAAAAGTGACATTACGTAAGTTTTATTTGCAATTGGTTCAAAACTTTTTTGCATATGAGTCTAGACATACAGAAATGTGTTTCCATTATTATCAAAGTGAGCTTCGTATAATGTAGGCATAAGAAAACCTAAAAATCCCTGACTATAAAAGTAATCATGAAAAAAACAGCAGCCTCAGGGGATTCACTTCTCTCCACTTTCTTTACCGATTAGTTATTCAGGAAAAGTTTGGAAGCATCACCTTTGAGAAGAATTCTCTCTGGGGAAGAGGAAGAATTGTTTGGCCATGAAGACGGAGAATAAAAAGCGGGTGTGTGATTGATGGGCTCAAATCTCAAGGCTGCAGAGAGAAAGCCTCTTTTCGCACCTGTCCTCAGCTGAAATAGTTTTACCTGCTGAATTTTGGCACTTGCTAGGAGATCTTCTAACTCAAGGGGAGATTTCAAAAAGAAGTTATAAACTCTAAAATGAACTTAAGGAACAGCAGAAAGGAATAGGTACTGTTATAAAGAGTTTAAATTCAGAAAATAAAATCCTAGAAATTAATCTCAGAAGACGTTGCCTCCTGGACCAGAATTACCATTTATTTAAAATGGAAATCGTTCTTTATTTTTTCACAAAAAATAATATGTGAAATATGATATAAATATTGAAGTAATATTTATATTGCATTTTCTTCTGCTCCCTTCCCTAATCCCTTAAAATCACTGATCTGTACTCTATCTCTTTATAATTGTCATATTGAGAATATCTTATATGTTGAATTACATAGTAGCATAGTAGGTCATCTTTTGATGTTGGCTTTTCTCACCCAAAATAATGCCCTGGAGAGCCATAAAAGTTGTTGTGTATATCAATAGTTTGTTTTCCTGCTATTGAGTGGCATTTTGTTAAATGAAGGTGCCACAATTTGTTTACCCATTCAGCTGTTAAAACATAATTCAGATTATTTCCAATTTTTGACTATTCCAAGTGAATAGGATATAAACATTTGTATACAGGTTTTAAAGTAAATATAAGTTTTTATATCTCTAAGATAAATACCCAGGAGTGTGATCGCTGTGTCATTGGTAAGTTTAGCTTAATTTTGTTTTATTAAAAACCACCAAACTATTTCCTAATGTGTTTGTATCATTTTACATTTCTGTCAACAATGCATAAGAGGTCTGATTTCTCTGTAGTCTCCTTAGGATTTGGTACTCTTAGTTGTTTTTATTTTGTTTTGTTTTGTCATTCTAATAAGTGTACGGTGCTACCTGGTCATGATTCTAGTGCATTTCCCTAATGGCTAAAAATGTTAAACATTTTTTCATGTGCTCATTTGCTACCTATATATTTTCCTTGTTGTATTGTCACTTTGGTTTTTTGGCAATTTTTTAATTGGACTCTTTGTTTTCACTTTTGAGTTTAAAGTGGTCTTCATATTTACAGGAGTCCCTTATCTTATATGTGATATTCAAATAATCTATCCTAGTTTGAGACTTGCCTTTTCATTTTCATAATAGGATGTCTCAGAGAGCAAAAGTTTTACATTTTAATGCAGTCCAGTTTCTTATTTTCCTTTTAGGGGTTATGATATTTGGGTCATGTCTAGGAACTCTTCATCTACATTTAGGCCACAGATTTTTTTATATGCTCACTTGTAAAGATTTCACAGATTTTCATTGTAAGTGTATTCTTATCATCCATTTTTATTCATTTTTTAATGGTTCTCTTCACAGGTGATTTTTCTTTTTTATTTTTATGTGGTTTGCATTATATTTCTTTTTAAATTTTAATTTTAGGGTTGGGGGTGCATATGAAGGTTTGTTACATAGATAAACACATGTCACAGAGATTTGTTGTCCATTTTATTAGATCACCCAGGTATTAACTCAGTACCCAATGGTTATCTTTAAAAATTATATAGTCTGGTTTATTTATTTATTTTTATGTTTTATTTTTAATCAAGTAATTTTTTTAAACCTCAACATATCCATAATTGACAGAATAAGACATTAGGCATGAAATGAGAATATAAAACCCAGAGTGTACAGAAAGGCAAACAGTGCTTCAGTCCCTCCAGATGACTGTGCGCGAGTGAAATGCATTCCAAACAGCTACCCCTTTCTTGTCTTTTAAAAACATACAGTTCAAGTGTTTTTATTTTCACTTGTAAACAACATGAGTCAAAATGGACAATGAGGTAATCTAAATACTACACAGGATAATCTAAAAACACTAGATAAAACACCATTATTAAAGACATATAAAAATCAGGGTTCACTTTGGTCTCTAGTATGGTTAGAGTTGTTAATACCAAAAAGCAACACATACTAATTGAAGCTAGCTTGGTGGTAGGTGCCAGTGGTTGATAGATGTGATTCAAGAGGTAGTCAACACCATCATTTTCAAGCTGGTAACTCTCACAAGCGTTAAGCCACAGATGCATTAAATATCATAATACTTTCTCACAGTGCAGTACTTTACCATAACTTGCAGCTTTGTTCCAAATATAAAATTTAAAAATGAATCATAGGTCAACTTCTCACTCTAACTGAACAATTATGACACAGATCATACAACCACCACATCTTAAAGAGGCTGTTGACAGCTATGTAAGACAGAGTTTGATGCTTTTAACAAGATGTTCTTCTCTAAAACATATAAATCTCATTAAGACATCTAGAAAATTAAAGTCAGTGCAGCTGCACTTGTACATACTTTCCCAAATTTTATAACCAAAGGGGAAATACACATATACATTTTATGATAAACTTTTCTTAGAGAAAACAGATAAATTAATTTAAATTAACTTTAAGACTTAATGAGATTTCCCATGTCCTGTATAATTCATCTTATAGTGAATGTTACGAAGTCTATTAACACTTATGGGCTCCTATTCACAAACTAAATACAACCAGCAGTAACTTGGGGCTGCACTGGTGCAAAATAAAACTGAGCCAGAATAAAAAAAAAGGATCGGCAATATCGGAGGTGGACTGATGCTAATAACATGACATTTCTTGATCTTTTTTCTTACATTGCACGCTAAACTTCCAAGTTATAAGCAGGTAAAAATCTTTCTAAATCTTTCAACTGCAAAAATATATCCAAGGTCTTCTAGTGAAGACTAGAAATCCAAGTATAAACATGTTTTCATTATAGTCTGCCATGTAGCAAATGATTAGCTTACAAGGCTAAGAGACTGGCAATGCATCTTGTTTAGGAATTACATTTGTGTTGACATGAGGGTGAGGTCAAGAGATAACTTAATTCACAGACCTGCTGCCCCACCATTAGTAATCCCTGCAAAGTGATGCTTCACACAGACCCTTTTCCCTCAATAGCTAGTAATGGCATGGCATGTTCATTCCTTGGCAAGCCAGTGCTAGTTAGTTATGTGCCTGGGGCTATAATGCTGTAACACACTTGGCTTCAGGGCGGCACAGACAGTAAATGAAGGACATTAGCATCTTTTAAACCCTTTGCCTAGCACGAATACCTGCATACAACAACCCCTCTCCCTATTTATGTGTTTACTTTTCCTACTGCTATTCAATTGCTGCAATGAATTGCTATTGAAACTTTCTCTAAATTACTTGGCCATACTTCTTTGGATCTATTTCAAAACTTTCCATTCTGTTCCATTCATCTACATGTCCAGCCGTCTGCCGGTATCACGCTGACTTAATTACTATAGCTATGCAGTAAGTTTTGAAGTTGGGTACTGTGATTTTTTTCAAACTTAATTTTCATTTTTTCAAGATTGTGCTTGCTAATTGTCTTAGTCTGTTTTATGCTGCTGTAACAGAATACCATAAACAGGGAAATTTATAGTAAACAAAAATGTATTTGCTCAGAACTCTGGAGTCTGCGAAGTTCAAGGTTGAGAGACTGGCATCTGGTGAGGGTCTTCTTGCTGCATCATCGCATGGCAGAAGGGCAAGAAAGTGTGAGAGAAAGAAAGAGATTGAACTCACAGCCTCAAGCCCTTCTATAATTGGCATTAATATATTCATACAGGGCAGAGCGTTCATGACCTAAACACCTCCCATTAGGCCTCACCTCCCAACACTGTTGCATTGGGGATTAAATTTCCAAAATATGCTTTTTGGGAAACGAATTTGAACCATAGCACTAACCTAGATACTTTGCCTTTTCATATTCAGTATCATTAGTCATTAGGAAAATGTAAATTAAAACCAAATGAGACCAGTACACACATACTAGAATGGCTGCAATCAGACAGATCAGCAATACTAAGAATTGATAATTACGTGGAGAAACTTGAACTCTCCTACATTGCTGGCAGTAATGTATATGTTATTTCCACTATAGCAAACTATTTGGCAGATTTTTTAAGTTAAATATAATATATGACCCAGTAATTCCACTTCTATTTATTTATCCATGAAAAAAATGGAATCTGAACAATCTTTTTTTTTTTTTTGGGGGACAGAGTCTTGCTCTGTCACCCAGGCTGGAGTGCGGTGGCACGATCTTGGTTCACTGCAAGCTCTGCCTCCCGTGTTCACGCCATTCTCCTGCCTCAGCCTCCTGAGTAGCTGTGACTACAGGTGCCTGCCACCACGCCCAGCTAATTTTTTTGTATTTTTAGTAGAGACGGGGTTTCACCATGTTAGCCAGGATGGTCTGGATCTCCTGACCTTGTGATCCACCCACCTTGGCCTCCCAAAGTGCTGGGATTACAGGCGTGAGCCACAACGCCCACCCTACACAATCTTTTTTTGTGAATGTTCATGGCACTCAACATGTAGAAACAATCCAAATATCCATCACCTAGTGAGGAGATAAACAAATGTGGCATATGCACACAACGTATTGCTGTTCAACAATAGAAGAGTTGTTGTTACTGATACCTAACACAACATGGATGAACCTCAGAAACAGTGTGCCAAGTGAGAGAAGCCAAACACAAAAGGCCACATATTGTGTAATTCCATTTACAGAAAAGTGTCCAGGAAAAGACAAATCTACAAGATAAAAAATTTGGTTAATGGTTGTCTGAGTTCAGGTGTGGGTATAGATATATACTGAAAATAAAAGGGAAAGGGAACTTGGAGGAAAAATAGAACTTTTCTAAAACAGAATTATGGAAATGGTTGCACAACTATTGTATGAATTTACAAGTCATCAACCTGTCCACTTACAGTGGTTGAATCTTAATAGTATGTAAGTGATACCTCAATAAACCTCTAATAAAAATGCATCATCAATACCCTAAGCAAATAACCACAATTAAATTTATTTTCTCAGTTCACTGAGTTCTATGCAATTAATTGTTGTTTTGGTGAATGTGGAGTCAGCAGTCTTCTTTCATGAAGTACCTCTGTCACTAACTGGAAATCTAAACTAGTACATTCTGAAAAATTTCTAAGCAAATTAAGTTTAGACTTCTTTTCCCTCTGGTCTGTTCCTTGAAGTATCAATAGTTTAAGTCCCTGCAACAGCTGTTTCCATAGGGTCCTAAGCTGGCTTTTGTTTAAATCACAAATTCCAGCTTGCAGCACATAGTAGAGTCTTGGGGCAAGCATAAGAGGGAAACACAAACCTGTTTAGTAAGACTAAATAACTCTTGTCAGTTTATTATATTAATCGATAATATAACAGAAGAGAGTAAAACTATGTATGAAGTATAGTACATACGATATAGAATGATTTCACAAGGGTTTGATTAATGTTTCTGCTATAATAAGGCAGTTTTCTGAAAAGTAAGGGAACTGACAAATCCCTAGGGCCTTTATATAAAGTGCACAATCTTTTAAACAGCTAAGTAACTAAACAAACTTTGCAACTGTTTTTTTTTTTTTTTTTTTTTTTTCTTTTTGAGACGGAGTCTTGCTCTGTTGCCCAGGCTGGAGTGCAGTGGTGTGATCTTGGCTCACTGCAACTGTTTTTAAGACATTTGCTAGTATATTTTCAGACTCATATATTAAAAAACTATGCAAACAAAATTCATTTTCCTCAAACTTGCTGAACTTTCTCAAGCTGTCTTTCTCTACTGTTTTTTATATTCTGGAAAAAAATACCACTATTTTAGACAAACCTAAACATCCCCTTGTTTTTATTAAAAAACAAAAGCCTATTGATAATATTGGGTACAAAATTGTATTTCTCTGTCACAATTACTCTAGTTATCACCTATGAGCACACAATGTACAAACATGTAATTTGTGGCAATAACAGCATAAAGAAGGGTGGAAATGTATAGGAACAGTTTTCCATACTATTAAAACTAAGTTAATATTAATTGAAACTGGATTGTTATAAATTTAAGATGTTAATTGTAATCCCAAAGTAAACACCTATAAAATAAGTTTTTAAAAATACAGTAAAGGTAGTAAGAAGGGATTCAAAATGGTACACTTGAAAAAATTGTTGAACACAAAATAAGCAGTAAACAACTGAGAAACAAATATATACATACACATATATATACTATATGTATACACTATATATATACACACACTATATATACATATATATTTGCATGTGTGTATATATATATATATATATATATATATATATATATATATATATATAAAACAAATAGCAAAATTGCAGAAGGATGTCCCCCCTACCAATAATTAGATTAAATGTAATTTTAAGTCCCAAAGTAAAAGGCAAAGATGGGCAGAATGGATGGACAAATAGTACCCAACTTTGTACTGTCTGCAAGTCTGCAAGAAATTCCACAGATACAAGTAGATTGAAAGGAAGGGATAATATCTTAGTCCACTTTCCACTGCTATAACAGAATGCCACAGATTGGATAATTTGTGAAGAAAAGAGATTTATTTGGCTCATGGTTCTGGAGGCTTGGAAGACCATGATCAAAGGGTTGCATCTGGTGAGGGCTATCTTGCTGCATCATAACAGGGTAGAAGGGAATAATATGGTGAGGAAGTGATCACATGAGACAGAGAAAACTGGGCCAAACTCATCCTTTTTTAGTAGAAACCTACTTCCATGATAACTAATTCACACCCACAATAACAACCTTAATTCATTCATGAGGCTGGTGTCCTCATTACCTAATTACCTCATAAAGGGCCCACCTCTCAACACTATTACATTGAAGATTAGGTTTCCAATACACAATTTTCTGGGAGACACACTTAAACCATAGCAGATAGAAAAGTATATTCTATGCAAATAATAATCAAAAGAGACATGGAATGATTAATATCAGAAAAATATACACTTTATGTCAAAAATTGTTATGAGACAAAGAAAGATATTGAATATGAATAAAAATGGCCAATTCATTGAGAAAAGATGGTAATTATAAACACCATTGCATCTAACAACAGACTCTAAAATATATGAAGCAAAAATTGACAGATTTGAAGGCTAAAATAGGCAGCCCTACAATAATAGCAGGACATTTTAATATCCTGCTTTCGATAGTGGATATAACATCTAGAAATAAATCAGTAAAGTAATAGAGAACTTGAACAATACTATAAACCAATGAGCCCTAACATATAGGAGCCAACAGGAGTAGAGTACACATTTTCTCAAGCGCATACCTCAGACTTTTCAAAGTTGATATTTTTATCTAAAAGATCCTCTATGAGCTGAATATTACACCATTTAAATAAAAGAAAAAGAAGCCACTCTTAGTGCTGTTTCTTGTTCTGCCATGCCATCTCCTACTGAATATGGGAACTGGAAATACTGGACAACCTTCAGTTCTCAGAAAATTGTGGAAGTCATTTGGGGTGAATGCCACTTTTTATACTGGGATTTTGGCTAAATTCCATTGTGAGGCAGCTGGCCTGATCCTTAGATATGTGCTTGCTTATATCTGCAAATGGAATAAATGTTTTGTGCTAATTCCGGGTCATATCATTTATGGGCTGCTGAAGACTACAATTATGTTAAGTGGTATGACCAAATTTCCTCGGACCATAGATCATTTTTTTTGTTGTTGACTAAATATCTGCCTGAGAACTTGTATTTTAATCTCCTAGAAGATGACTACATAATACATAAAATTTATTCAGGATATACTTGGACAGTTAATTAGTTTCCTATTATTGTATAATAAATTACCAAAAATTTAGCAGCTAAAAACAACATATGTAGTTTCTGTGGGTCACAATTATGAGCACAGCTTAACTGAGTTCTAAGCTCAGGATCTCACAAGAATTCAAAGGGTGGTTCAGGCTGTGCTCCTTCTGTAGCTCTGGATTTCCTTCCAAGCTTACATGGTGTTGACAAAATTCAGTTCCCTGTGACAGTAGGACTGAAGCCTCCATTTATTGCTGTTGTCTAAGGACTACTTTCAGCTTTCATAGGATGCCCTCAGGTCCTTGCAACATTAGTTCTTATAAGCACTCTGAAAACAGGGAGCCTTATTTCTTCAAGGCCAGCAGGAGAACCCCTCACTATAATCTGCTAAGATGGAGTCTTAGTAATGTAACATAATCATGAGAGTAACTATCTCATCACCTTTACCACCTTCTACTGTCTTTTTTTTTTTTTTTTTTTTTTTTGAGACGGAGTCTCGCTCTGTCGCCCAGGCTGGAGTGCAGTGGCGGGATCTCGGCTCACTGCAAGCTCCGCCTCCCGGGTTCACGCCATTCTCCTGCCTCAGCCTCCCAAGTAGCTGGGACTACAGGCGCCCGCCACTACGCCCGGCTAATTTTTTTTTTTTTTGTATTTTTAGTAGAGACGGGGTTTCACCGTTTTAGCCGGGATGGTCTCGATCTCCTGACCTCGTGATCCGCCCGCCTCGGCCTCCCAAAGTGCTGGGATTACAGGTGTGAGCCACCGCGCCCTCTACTGTCTAAAAGCAAATTTCAGGCTCCATCCACACTCATGGGCAGGGTACTATGCAGAGGCATGACTCGCTAGGGGTCCTATCATAGAATCCTGTCTACCATAGGTACATGGATATAGGGCTCTTTCGGCAGATGATCAACCGCCATCCGTATGACGGCTTGGGGCCTGTAGGAAGTTTAGATATAAACATCATGATGAATCTTAGGTTCTGCTATCAAAGCCCATTCCTCCGCTCTTGCTGAAAAATTTGCCCTCCATGATTTGGTTCAGAGGTAACTTGTGCAGTGGTCTCTAACACCCAAGCAGACTTTAGTGAAGGAAGAAATGATCAAGACACATATGTTTCATCAATTGCTTCCTCAAAATTTTGTGTTTTCTTTCCTACACTTCCTAAGGTCAAAAGGGGAGATTTTTTACAACCTGCTTTTCCTATATGAGAGGAAAATTTTACTAAGTCATACCTTACCACTTCCTTGAATGGTTCTGCCCTTCTTTCTTCTCTGAAACTTATTATTAAATAGAGAGCAAGAAAGAAATAGCTTACCAGTAAGAGAACATTTGTAAATGCTATCATCTGCCCTTCAGTATTCATTTTTGCTTCATTATCTCCTACACTGGAGTTCTTGATGGTAACTGCTTTATCTTACAAAATCCTAGTAGTTTAGTTGTACTTTCCAGCATGAGTTGATCTTTCTAAACTTGCCCTCTTGGTCTTCTGAATTTCTATATCCAAAGATGTCTATGATTTGCCTTGATATTATACCAGGAAAGAATATGGGCTCTGTTGTCTCACAAACAAGATTTCAAAAGCTACCCCTGCACCATTTAGAAGCTGTATGACATCAAACAAGTTATTTAAATCTCTACCCCTTGGCTCCTCTGCTGTGAAATTGTTTGTAAATCTACATGTTATTTCAGTTTTAAGTGCTTAAAATCTTGTGTATTTTCCTAAGTTGTAGTGAAAAAATCAAGAGGAAACTCATGGCCCTTTAACAAATGCCATTTGAGACTAGAATACATCAGAGTGACTCTGAACATGATTGGTCCATTGATTGAGTTCAGAGGCTTTTAAATGACAGGCTATTTAATTCACTTGTATATATATCTCAACCCTTCCTCTGGACGGAACCTTCTCAACAATCCCATTGTGGTTTTCCTTTGTATTAATTACTCTATCTCACAAAGAGGTAGTACTGTTCAGCCAGTGGCAGCAGGGATCCATCATCGAAGGAGCAGGTTCATAATGACACTCTGGGGAATGTTCTATTGTTCAGGTCATCTAAGAGCATCCATTAGTAGCAATTTTCAGCCAGGATAAGACTAAACATTAATCCAAAATACGTCTTCTTGTCTTTCTGAGAACTGCACTACTCTTTTTTCACATAATAGCCTTAGTGTGTAATTATCAGCATTACACAATAACAGAGAACAGGAAGTTACCAAGGCAACAAACCAAACAACCCAAAAGTCCTAAGAGAAAAAATCTTAGGGTTGCTTTCCTGGCCGTCACTTTTAGTCTCTTCTTAGTTCACACTTACATCTAAACAGTTTTCCTACCAGTGATAATAAAAGCTCATTTGTCACGCCTATGTTATCTGTTGTCTTCAAATCTTTTCTTCTAGTTATCTCTAACTTTAAGTCTTTCTCCTGATCAATGGGACTTAAACACTTCGTTTCAAGAGTGAAGATGAAAATTATAATTTAGTGATCATCAATCATGTGTCAAACATCATGCTATGATTATTCATATACTTACACTTTATAATAATTATCTATAGTAGGAATACTCATCCTTATTTTACAGGTGAAAAAAGAGAGGTTCAGAGAGATTAAAAACTTGTCTAAGGTTACTCAACACAGTTGGGATATAAATCCAAGTTTCTCTGATTCCAGGGCCCAAATTGTCCACAAAACTGTTTATACCTAAACAGACTAAAACCCAAACAAAACACAACATTATGCTAGCTTGTGCCCACTCATTCCTCAATACCAGGACTGGGAATTTTCTTAAAACTTATTTTGCTTAAATATTAGAACATTTTATTTTTTATAACCTATATTAAATAGATGTTTGGATTAGGCATTTACAGTAAAAGTACCTAATATGCAAGATGATATGTAGTAAAAAATAAGTTGACTTCCCTCTCCTACCTCTCCTAATTACTACCACCCATTTCTCCTAGGAGAGGCAACCTGTATTTTTCCAAGCAATAAACCCCCTAAGGTCATAAAGCCCTCTCTTCGAGATGTCTACAAATAAGCAATACCAAGAGAAATTGCCCACATACACTACTTAGTTGGCACAGCTTTTACTCATCTATTTCCAGTAAGCAGCCACTGTGAGCACACCAAGAGAAAGTGGATAGAGGATGCCTACTCTGGTACATGGCATAATCATGGACTGCTTGTGCACTCTCTCTCTCGGCTGCTGCTATTCTTTCCTGGCTCATGTGTCTAGAGACCTCTACCCTTGGATGTTCTCACAAGGGATTAGAGCTGCTTTATTGCCAGGATGTAGCCCTCTGCAGACAGCCCAGCACACTCCCAGGTGTGTAGAGGACCAACGTTCTGGGCCAGTTAGGAAGGTTGGGGTCACATAGTACCTAAAGGGATCCTGCTGTCTCTGAATGCACCTCACATTCTATTGGCCCACAGTTGCATCAGCTGCATTCTTCTTAATTCTACCCCAAATTGTGTATCTCATTGCAACAGCTAGGTATATGATTTATTGCAGTAGTATACTATCCTTCACAGTACATTCCAGAACTCATTGGTACAAAGCATATTTACTACAACTCATCTACAACTTTGAGGTGATCGGCTCTAACAGAGAAATATATTTATAGCAAGGTTACACTTCTGGTAGAAAATCTAGTTTTAAGTTTAACAAATAAATGTTTACATGTACATTAAAACGTAGAGAACATATACAAGCTTACAATTTGACATAACACAGCCCACCCTAGGATGTCTCATTCTTAAATCTTCATGTATCATTATGTGATGGTTTTTTCTTTTTAGTAAATCTTGGTAATGGAGTGTTAGACTGTATAGCATTGTTAAGAAAGCACTGAAGGATGTCTAGCCTCAAATATACATATTTAAACTGATGAATAGGTTATGGTAAAATACCCATACAATTGAATGTTGTTCTATAAAAAATGAAGTACTTGATACCTGCTACATTATGGATGAAACTTGAAAATATTATGTAAAAAAGTTCTAGTGACAAAAGACCACATACTTTTTGATATCATATATAGTAAATGTCATATATAGTAAATGAATAGAGACAGAAAGTTGAGTTCTGTTTGGCCAAGGCTGAGGGAGGTAAGGTGGGGTGCCAAGCATAGAAGGGGTGATAAGGAGTGTCTGCTAAACAGGTATAAGGTTGTTTTGAAAATGATGAAAGTGTTCTAAAATTAGTTTATGAGGGTTACATACTATAAATATACTTAAAATATTGAATTGTCCACTTTAAATGGATAAATTTTGTGTATGTAAATTATACCTCAATAAAGCTATTAAAAATACACCTTTAATCAGAGGGTATCATGATCATTTCTGTTAGATCAATTCCCCTTTCAATCTGGATTGCTAATGACACCTACGGACCACACCACAGTGTGTGTTTCCAATCTAAAGGACCTAAGAGTCTTCTCTCTTTGCTTATTAGTGTCAACAATATTGTCATGGTGCCTGTTAGAATAATATGTTATTGGCCAGGTGCGGTGGCTCACACCTGTAATCCCAGCGCTTTTGTAGTCTGAGGCAGGTGGATCACGAGGTCGGGAGTTTGAGACCAGCCTGACCAACATGGTGAAACTCTGTCTCTAGTGAAAATACAAAAATTTGCCGGACATGGTGGCATGTGCCTGTAATCCCAGCTACTTGTGAGGCTGAGGCAGGAGAATCGCTTGAACCTAGGAGGCGGAGATTGCAGTGAGCCGAGATCGTGCCACTGTACTCCAGTCTGGGTGACAAAGTGAGACTCTGTCTCAAAAAAAAAAAAAAAAAAAAAAGAAGAAGAAGAAGAATATATGGTTATTAACTCAGCAATAACAAAAGGATTCCAAATGGTCCAGTGTTTCTACTCATCCAAATCAAGACGTGATATAGCTATACACAGTGGATCTGATGTCTACCTTTGTCAAGGTACTTTCCATCATTACATTTGCATGTTTAGTATCCATTACTGTCTTTTTGATTATCTCCTCCATTTGGTGCCCAGAGGCTCTTTATAGAAATGTTTACCTTCATGTGGTATTAAGAGAAGAGGAGGCTATACTTACAATTACCTCATTTCTTCAGAAATCTTAATGTTATTACGGTAGGAAAATCCACCCCTTGGGGGCAATCCAGATTTTCTTTTAGTATTCCAAGTTTTCTGTTTGCCTGGGCAATACCATGTGTACTCCTTGTCAGTCATATTCATAATTTGATGTACATTCTCACATGCCACATCAAGTTCTTTTGGCTTTACTTTTCATCTAAAGAGGCAGTGCTTTCATTGTCTCAAGTCGATTTTGTGGTAGATTTAGAGTTAGAAGCAAATTATAAGAATCATTTCTCACTGAATATATCCATAAACATTATCCACAAATTTAATCCAATTACATCTAGAGCAGAGTTTGTCTTCTGTTATCCAAAAATCAGATGCCAGGAGTGATTGTTTAGTTATAGATCTAACAGGAATACCATGTGGGACCTTTTTTACTTCTCTCCAGATATTACTTCTCTATATATTTGAAAATTTCCCTTATTATCACAAACATTATTTTCAATTTTTAATTCTGGTCCTCTTAAGAACCCCTATGCTTGGGTTATGTATCTCATTCTGTTTCATTTCGTCCTTCCATACCAATTATTTTCAACCCATTGGCTAGATGGCATTATATATTTATACACTATTTCTTTTATATTAAGATTTTATACATATAATTGCTTTATATGAGGTTTTGCTCTGGTTGTGTAAATCTTTAAGGTCTTATTAACACTCTGGTGGTATGATTTATCATGCCTTCTACATAGCTTAAAACTTTAATTAACTTTACCATCACTTACATGGCATAACCACTGAATCTCAGGTCTAAATTTGTAACCAACCCATTTAATCACGTCCTATGCTATATTGTTGTCTTAAGCTTTTTACATTCCAGTCCTTATAACTGGCTTTCTTAAGAAAGTCAGGATCTAATTCTGTTCCTGCACAATCAGTGAGATCTCTCTCTATTTTTTTTTTTGCATTAGTTTATATTGGGAAGAATCTATAAACTTTATCCAACTCCTACATCCCTACATTCTAGCTTTGTTTTAGGTACTTCAGCATCTTGTGTCTTAAACTTTATTTCTTGGTTTTAGTGATAATCTTCTGTCTGTTCCTGATGCTGTAAAATCAATGGGGTTCCAATCTTTTGGCCAAGTGGCATTTATATGTGTTTTTATATAATTCTACATATCATTTAGGCCATTGCTTAACACTGAATTCTTAACTTTCTCTTCTGATGGCAATATTCTTCTTTTTTTTTTTTTTTTTTTTTTTGAGAAGGAGTCTCGCTCTTTCACCCAGGCTGGAGTGCAGTGACACGATCTCGGCTCAATGCAGGCTCCGCCCGTGGGGTTCACGCCATTGTCCTGCCTCAGCCTCCCACGTAGCTGGGACTACAGATGCCCGCCACCTCACCCAGCTAATTTTTTGGATTTTTAGTAGAGACGGGTTTTCACCGTGTTAGCCAGGATGGTCTCGATATTCTTCTTTTAGAAAGACAAATGAGAAAGTCATATTAATACCTACACAAGTATTTGACCGTAAACCATTGATATATTATGCTGTTTCATCTTACATGCAAGAAACAGGTATATATTTTGGTTATACTTCATAAGGGGTGCCATTAATATTTTGTTCTCCATCATATTCTATAATCTTGTGAGGTTTCTCCCCTTCCTCAATGGTGTTGCTCTTCCAGTTAAAACCTTTGACGAACTGTCTTTGCACTCTATATTCTGGTGCATTTGTGTTTTCATATTTGTTTTTTACTGATTTTTTTTCACAGCTTTATTTGTATCATAGGAAATATGTTTGGAACTAACTTCTAGCATATTTTAATGAATAGCTTCAATTCCTTGCAATAATTTTTGTCAGGTATACACATTATCTGTTTCTCTAGATTAGTGAAATCTAAAAACTTCTTTTTGCCCAATTTGTAAGACTTATTTGTGGTGTAGCTAAATTAAGTGTACGAGTTTCCAGTGTCAGCATTAAGTTTTTTTTATTCCACTCCTGCAGCTTTGAAAACCTAGTTATTTTCCAGTTCTGGAGTACCTGAATCATACAATTACAACTTGGTCTTAACCCATCTGTCAAGTTTCAAAATATTTCCCTTAGTCTCAAAGAAGACCCTACATCCTGTAACACTTCATTAGCCCTTCTTCCCCAGCCCTTAGCAACAACAAATCTGCTTTCTGTATCTAAGCAATATGACCCAGCAACTCCACTTGTATGCATATACTCTGAAGAACTGAAACAGACATTCAAATACTCATTCATGAGTGTTCACAACAATACTACTGGCAATAACCAAATGGTGGAAACAACTCTAATGTTATCAACAGATGAATGGATAAACAAAATGTGGTATATGCATATAATGAAATATTATTGAGCCATAAAAATGAAGTACTAGCACGTGCTGCAACACAGATGAACCTCTAGATTCTTCGTTTCGATCACTATTCCCATTCGAGAATTATGAAGTTTTCCAGGGCCTGCCATTTGCAGAAAGTTTGTGAGGAAGAGAGAGAAGGCAATGTTCTAGATGGGCAGGAATTCTCTCTGGTCTGTAGCACAGATACCTGTGTCCATGTAAGTTATTTAGCCTGTATTTCTCCCCAGGCCAAAGCATCAAGGGCAGTCCACAGGACAGAGCTGTTCTCCTCCAGCTGGCATCCCTCTTTCCAGGGAGAATAGCAGTCTCCAGTTTTGTCCTGCTTGTCTGAAATCTACAGCTCCACTTCAACACCTTCCCACACCCCTACCTGAAATTCACTCTGCTCAGCAGCCTTTCTCATATTTTGTGTTTCAGGATTGTGTATCTTTCTTAGTATTGTTGTACCAGGAGTTGAAATTCCTCCTTCTCATTTGTCTTGTTTTTGAATGATGTTCTAGAGGCAAAGGTGGCTGCAGCATTTTAACTTAGCAATTTTTCTGAGAATAGCTGCATAGTGTTTAAAAAGTACTTTCATATGAATAATCACCTTCTGTCTTGATGACACCTCTGTGTGGTTGGGATATTATCTCCAAGGTATAAATCACTCAGTGTCAATGAGATAGTAAATGGTGGCAGGTTGATTAGAAATAGGTTCTTTTGTTTCTCAAAGACTTCTCTTCAATATTTCGTAATGCACTCTGTCAGATTTGGAGGAAATTAAGTAAGATATTTGAGCCTAAATTCTTCATATACCAAAAGGGCATTATCAGGCTATTGAGAGGATTTGATGAAATAATATGCATCCAGTATTAACTATATAGCACATGCTGCTCAATGAAAGCTGAATTGAGTTGAATTGAAGTGAACTGAACACTGAAATGAAACAAACTGTTACCTTTACTGGTGAATGCATAATTTCCAAATCACTGTGCAAAAGACAATCTTTAAAAAACCTTAAAAACAAGTCTCAGTTAGGACCAAACATCTCACTTGGCCTTATGAGCCCCGAAGGGTAGCATTGCATTGATCAGTGTTTGACGGAAGGTATAGTATCTGGATGCTCATTTGCATGTGTGCTAAGGGTTAAGAGAGAGCTAAAGCCAGCCTGCTGCGGTCACAACAAAACACACCGCTCACCAGCTCTGTCACCTCTGGCTGACAAAAGCCTCCACTTCTCTTTGGAAATTAGTGAAAATAACAGTATCTACTTTACTGATTGTTGAGTTTTAAATAAGATCTGACATATAAAATGTAGAGAACTAGCACATGGTCACAGGTTGATAAACATCTGAAATTATATTATTATGATTCCACATTCATGCTACCATGGATGAAATTTCTTCACAGGAGACAGAGCATCCCACACACTGGGAAAGGGTCTCTCCCATTCAGTTTTGCAGATCAGTCTTTGATGGATAAGCCAGTCTCCTGGTACTTGCTTAGCGTCTGTTTTTCTCCTTGCATCTGATCAACTCTGAATGTCTTTAAAACTGCAAAATGCTGAAACTGCAAAGCTGAGAACAAGAATCCAGATCACAAGAATCCTATAAATGGCACAGCCTAAGAAGACAGCTGGCCTCCTTAGATGACACTTCTACTCCCACATAACCCAAATTCTAATGGAAGGGATTCGTGTAGAAACCACATCATTCACAGGGACTTGACTGCATGCCTATGTTCTTGATGAGCTAAACTCCTCTGGAAGGATGGAGGCTTTCTCCTTTTGCCTCAGCCCACACTATTTATTGAATACCATAACAACCCTCCATTTACTCAGAGGAAGTGCTTTGCATTTGCAAATCATTCTGGGAAGCCAAGTGAATTGGCATTTCTAAGTTAAAAATGTTTTGTTTTTTTAAAGGATGCTTATCCATTTAAATCCTGAAACAGATCCAAATCTTTACTCATCACATTAAAAAAGAAGAGCATAACACAGAATTCTCCCATTCAAAAAAAAAAATGGTATTCTTCTACTACTTGTTCTAAATCCAACATACATACCTTAAAGATTCAGATTATGATACCTGAAAGTTGACAGCATCAGTTCGAGGCCCATTGTCATGATGTAGGTATACAAAACAGAGTTGAAGTATGCTCTTCCTAGCAAAACAGATATGAGTGCTACCATTGTTCACTTGTGAGGAGAATACAAGGCCTAGATTTATTCTGAAATCAACTCCATGAAGTTTATGAAGGGCCAGAGGAGTCACCTCAGGAGAAGGTGTCAAGAACACAACACATGTAAATAAACGAGGATGGGTGCCTTGCTTATTTAAATAACTCCTGTGCTCCATGCAGAATCCTTTCACTTTGAAAACACACCCTGCCACAGCAAAAAAAAAAAAAAAAAGTAATAAAAGTTAGGGAAAAGAAATTTAAATCACTTGAAAATGGAAAACCTTACTAGCATGTTCTGATTGTTATTTTCAAGGAACAGTTAACTACATTAAATAACATCACCCTTGTACTTCCTAGGTTACCCTGGCACAGAGGCATTTTGTAGATTACAACCACCCAGGGGGCTTTCCAATGATCACTAGAGCATCTTCCCTTGCACCCAATCAGGAACCTGTTTGATCTGTTTCTTCCCTTTGTCTGATTCTTGATTCTACTCTCATTTATATGTCTGCCTTTGATCAAAGGCATCTCTCTGACCCTGAATTTCAGCTCAGTCCCAAACATTTCAAATGAACGTAAGTTTCTGAATCTATCTCATCAATCTCCTTGAGAATTCCACCTTCTGCCACTACTCTGGGAATCAGCCCCAGGCCCAGTCCTTTTCCCTGTGAGTCACCCAAACTATTTGTTTGTCCAAGAGCAGAGTTCTACCAAGTCTCACCATTGCACACTGGGTTTATACACTTTCCCACAGATCAGCAAGATGAATGTAATCCTGAGCTTTGGAAAGATGGTGGTGAGAGTGAGGACACACAATACGTTCTCCTACAGCCATGTGTCACATTCATAAGGTGTGAAATTTTTACCAAGATTGATATTAACATTACCACAGGAAACCCAGTCTTCTCAGAGACTGAAGATTGCTTCAGAGCCAGTCCTGCTGGCACACCAAACAATCTGCAGGTTATAAAATTTAACCCTTTATCTACATATAAGTCATCTCCAAGAGCTGCCATGGGCAGCATCTCCAAAATGAACCTTATTCCCTTCTCTAGAGTACCTGGAATGGCCATTCATCAACAGATGCACTCTCCCCGCTAGACCTGCTGTCAACAATGGGCCACTGCCTCTTTTTGTAAACAACAATGGAATGATTATCCATTTTTGCATTGTCTATGGCTGCTTTCTCATTATACTGGCAGAGATGAGTAGTTGAAACAGAGGCCTAAATTCCCCAATATCTAAAATATGTATTCTTTGGCCTTTACATTAAACAAACAAATTGCTGACTACAACTCAAGGTCAGGAGGTAGTTGGCTTTTTGATAATGTTGATATTTATTTCTACTTGTATGGTGCTCCTCTCTGTTTTCAGTGGTCGTGTTCAGTATCATATGGTGTTCCTCTGACATTGAGGCAGGTAATGGCATAACTCACAGTTAGTTTCTTCAGAGTGTGAGCCATCCCTAACAGAATATGAATATTAAATGTATAATAGATTTTATAGTTAGATTACAAAGGTATCCATCAGAACCCTCTAACTTAGGATTGTACATTCATAACATGCATTAAAATCAATTTTATATTTTAAACACTTTTCTTATTAATGTAACAATTTTTCTTGGTTTTTATAAAATGTCAAAGGGAATTAACAATATGGAAACCTCTGTTGCCTACTCCTTTCCTTTGAAGCCTGGGTTATTCTGCAGGAGAAATGCTGCATGTGATCACTCAGCCTGTGCTATAGCAGAACCAACTGTTCATAGTCTACAATGTAAATAGAGACCCCTAGAGTTGTGCAGTACCCAATCTACACAATTGTAAATGGTGGCCCATAAATTTCTTAGCCAAATTTAGGAAGCAATTGAGATAAAACAGGATCAGGTTTTCAAATAAGACTCACGAAAATCTCAGATCTTTGTCAGCGCCAAAGCATATTCATAATTTCAAGGGTACAAGTAACCACGAAGTGTAGTGAAGCATAGTGAGGTCTGGAGTGTTGCCCACAGGTCCCTAGGTCTTTTCTCACTACACTGGACACTGGCTCTATTTGCATATAAGGTCTCTAAATAATATATATAGCTACATCCTCAGGGGAAAGAAAGGCACCTGGGTCAAGAAACATCTTCAGTTCATACTCAGATAGTTATCTAGCTTACATGACATTTTCTTCAGTATCATGCCTTATAACTTCATGGATCCCAAGTGTATGTATCATGAGCAATACTAAACAACCAAGCACAGCCCACTCAAAGCTTCCCATTGATAAGGATTTTCTCCTCTCCCTAGCAAACACTATTAGTTCATTTGCCAGTGAAGCACAGTTATAAGGAGATTTAACTGAATATCCTTCTTTTTTCCCTGAAGCAGCTCCTTAACTTCTTACTTCCCAGAAGTGTTTGCCAGAGGCAGCCGAAGTGAAAGTGGCCAGGATAGAGTGCCTGACTCATCATCCAGAATAAGCAAAAGTAAAGAACCTGGGAATTTAGAAACAGGTCAGAATCTATTTGAAGAGTGACACAGAATTGAGGTTGAGACCAAAAAAATGTGTGCTCTAAATCATGTTTTTGCAGAAACTAAGTGGAAGTTTCCAGTGTGGATGTCATTTTGGTTGGGAACACACATTTCCTTAGGAAAAGCAGGAGGCTGTGATGGAAGAAACTAAGGATCTTGAAATTGGATAGACCTATTACCACCTTCCCTAACTTCAAGACTTCAAGGTACTGTGAATAAGTTACGTGTTGTTGTTTTTTGTTTGTTTGTTTTTTGACAAAGTCTCACTCTGTCTCCCATGTCGGAATGCAGTGGCATGATCTCGGCTCACTGCAACCTCCGCCTCCTGGGTTCAAGCGATTCTCCTGCCTCAACCACCCGTGTAGCTGAGATTAAAGGCATGCTCCACCAGGACTGGCTAATTTTTGTGTTTTTAGTAGAGACGGGGTTCCACCATGTTGGCCAGGCTGGTCTTGAATTCCTGACCTCAAGTGATCCGCTTGTCTCTGCCTCACAAAGTGCTGAGATTACAGGTGTGAGCCACCGGGCCTGGCCTACTTACTTCTTTAAGCCAGATTTTCTACACCAATAAAGGTGAGCTTGCAATGCCTACTGTGTGGTGAGGAGTAAATGAGCTATAGTATGTGAAGTTCTCAACACAGTGCCTGGAATAATGAAAGTCTCTTCCTTTGGTTCCCTTTGCTCCCACCACCTCATGCAGAATTTCAAGCCAAACAAATATACCAAACTACTAAGAAAAATTATCTGACACTTGGAAATAGGCCATCAAAAAAGACTAAGTTTTCTTTTAGTGCAGCACTGGTGTTAACTTTCTAATCAATAGGCTATTTTACAACTATGTGAGGGCTTAGGATACCTTGGAGATTTTTATCCAGTAGAGCTGCAAATAATTTCCATCCAATTGAATATATAATCCCAAATAGCATGGTTTATAGCCCTGTTGCATATTAACCAACATTGCACTTAATCCATGCATCTACTAAATTGTCCATATATCTATATCTTGGTTATCAATTGTTTTTTGGACTGCTGTTAACAGCATATGTGTTTCCTCATTATTTTATGATTTGAGGATGATGTCTGACGCATGCTCAATTTATATTTGGATGGAAGACACATTTTTTTTAACATTATTATTTAGCGAAATGTACCTAATGGTTTACAGTGGGATTCAAAGTCTATACTGTGTCCTTTACAACATGTGTTAAGTCAGTCATAGATTAAGAGGAAACGTTGACTCAGGGTACCTGGTGGTAGAGTGTGCACTGTGAGAGAAGAGGAGAAGGCTCTGAATGTATTCAGCAGAGGTCTCTTTATCAACTTACTTACCTCCTACCCTCTTTTCTCCAAGTGGTAAGTGTGGCATGATGACCTGTGGCATCCATCTGGTTTAGGGAGACCCATGTGGGCAGAGGAAATACACTCTGCTCTAAGCCTCTCAGGTCAACCCTGTCTTTTGCATTTTGCCTGCCACATTTTTCACAGAATCAGTTACCTTCATCTTCAGAATACCAAGATCTAACAGGCCACCAAGATTTGGGTATAGATTTAAGATCAAAAAGGCTCAGAATGTCTCTTGATCTTCTCTTAGTTATTTTAAGCCACTTAGGCTAGTTACAAGTTAGACAAAACCAGATACCCATGCCATCTAAGATAAATCACTAGAAATTGAGGCAAGATAAATCACTGTAATTTGTGGTAAAACAAACAGTTAAGTTTGCAAACTTTGTCTTCCATTCACATATCCTCTTTAAAGACTGCAAACTGCAATAGGTGGCTGTGTGAAGACAGAATTATCACATATGAGACCCTGAGGGTCCAGCCAAATACTATTTCTCCAATGGCAGCACTTGGTTGGGATTAAAATTTACCTAATTTCTTCTAATGAGAACTCTGTCAATGTCTTTTTTTTTTTTTTTTTTTCAACTGCTTCAGAGATACTATTCTCTCACCCCTTTACCTTTTACATTCTATCTTCAGGAGTCATCTCATTTATCCCTCTGGGTTTCCAGTCTATCCCCTTGACCTCAAGCTCTCTAAAGGACATAGCTTTGTTTCCCTTGCCTTTAACTACTTATATCACTTCAACTAAGACATATCACTGCAAATAAGCAAGCTTGGTGTAGAAAGCCTATGGCTATAAGTAACTGGAAATATTGGGTTGAATATTAAAGGGATTTAAAGATTATACAGGTCTTGATAATTGCTATATTTGCCACTCACGAATGACATTAAGAAAAATATTTCTTATCACATTTAATGGGAGATATTTAGGGTGGAAGTGCTAGAGAAAATTTGCATATTTCTTCCTTAGTGTGAAATCTATTTAACTGCTAAAATTCAAATTATACAGAAAGAAAAAAAAGCATATTCATAAATAAAATTTATTGTAAAATCCTTAAAATTCATGCTTGGAAGCCTATATTCCTTTTACAGAGTGTTTCTCCACCTTAGTCATACCTTAGAACCCCCTGAGGAGACTATAAATGTGCTGACACTTAGACTGTACTCAAGGTCATTCAGTTAGACTTTGTGGGGATGGACTTACAGATCAGTATTTTTCCAAATGTCTCTGGATTCCTTTGGGGTTCTGCATTAATGCACTTTCCATGTGTCTACAAGTTAAAAGCAAACTAAATTAAATAATGGATGTGGTGTGTTCAAAAGAGATCATAAGGCTTATGTTTTATTAAAAAAGCATATGCAATTTTAAGTGGCGTGTTTCTAATTTATATCTCATTTTAAATTAAGTATAATACTAAACACCTTACAAGAGCTACTCAATTAGGATAAGACTATCTTTTCACAGCTTCAACCTTGATGTAACTATATTTGGTAGGAATGTAATAGTACTTATACTTTCCTAGAAATATCAACCCATCTTTGAACTCTGAAGTGGCTACAATCACTCGCTTGCTCTTTTCCTATCTTTGACTCTCACAGTCCCTCATGTACAAATGCACACAGATGCCACAACCTCTGATCATGCTTTAACGTGTATGTAGAAGCATGATATTTTATATGTTTAAGGATATTCAATAGTTTTACTCGGTTATATTTATTTCAAAGGAACTGCTCTATCCAATATTGAACTTATAAGAACACGATTATTCTCTCAGACTTTCACTGTAATTCTTTTAGCATCCCTCAAAATGCACTGCTGAAGCAGAAATTACATTTCCAATAATGTCTGTGTCCTGGATGAGTTATGTTAGTTAACTTTTCTTCCTGCTGGCTCTGGGGCTTGATTGCTTAAATACCTTAGAGATATTATGACTCATACTCTGGTTGGTTGGTGTTTATGAGAACATCATCCAAAAATCAGAGTCTATATTCATTTAAACTATAGTGATTGAATTAGTTGATTTTTAGATGAATCATCTGGTGTAGATTAAAACATAAAAATAACCTATACTTCCTAAATGTTGTCAGGTTTTTAAGAGACTTGAAGAGGTTAATTAGGATAAAGGATAAATAATTATATTATTCAACAGTGTGAGTGCTAAGGCTTAAATCAGCCGATTTTGCTCAATTCCAAAAATGATTCTTCAAGCACACCGTTTTAGTCCATTCTTATGCTGCTATAAAGATCTTCCCAGACTGGGTAATTTATGAAGGAAAGAGGTTTAATTGACCCACAGTCCCACAGTTCCACAGGGCTGGGGAGGCCTCAGGCAACTTAGAATCATGGCGGAAGGGGAAGCAAACAAGGCCTTCTTCATATGCGGCAGGAAGGAGAAGTGCAGAGCAAGGTGGAAAAAAGCCCCTTATAAAGCCATCAGACCTCATGAAAACTCACTCACTATCACAAAACAGCATGGGGGAACCACCTCCATTATCTAATCACCTCCCATGAGGTCCCTCCCCCAACATGTGGGGTTTACAATTCGAATTACAATTCAAGGTAAGATTTGGATGGGGACATACAGCCAAATCATATCACACACAGTCAAGTGGATTGCTTTATCGTTGACATTTTCAAGGAGGTCAGAGATTAAAATATGCTTAACGTTTCTTTCTTGGGTAGGAACTTACTTGAAATGCTCCAAATAAAAAATACATTTTATAATTTCATAAGTTCAATAATTGTTTCTGGGCTTTTGTCATGCTTTATGAATTATGCTAGGGGAACATGGTATGGTAAAAATTCTCAGCCACACCTGAAAGGAAATCACAGTCAACATACAAATGAAAAATTAAGCAAGTAAGCAATGAAAATGCAATGTTTTATGATGCTATCTTGGATAAAGTACAGGAGGTTATGGATTTTGAAAAGAAGGAGATCTAACTGGTTTTGGTGGTCATTGAAGGTTTCTTAAAGAGACATTTAAATGAAGACTCGTGAATACAATTGTCCCTTAACCAATGCAGGGGTTCGGTGTGTAGATCCCTTTTATAGTTGAAAATTTGTGCATGACTTTTGACTACCCCGAAACTGAACTATTAATAGCCAAATGTTGACCAAAAGCCTTACCAATAACATAAACAACTGATTACCATATATTTAGTATCCTATATGTACTATACACTATATTTTCACAGTAAATTAAGCAATAATTTATTGTAATTTATTACAATAAAAGAAAATGCTATTAAGAAAATCAGGCCGGGTGCAGTGGCTTATGCCTCTAATCCCAGCACTTTGGGAGGCCAAGGCAGGCGTATCACCTGAGGTCAGGAGTTCGAGACCAGCCTGACCAATATGGTGAAACCCCATCTCTACTAAAAATACAAAAATTAACCAGGTATGGTGGCGGGCACCTGTGGCCCCAGCTACTCTGGAGGCTGAGACAGGAAAATTGCTTGAACCCGGGAGGCGAAGGTTGTGGTGAGCCAAAATCATGCCACTGCACTCCAGCCTGGGTGACAGAGTGAGACTCCTTCTAAAAACAAAAAAGAAAGAAAAAGAAAAAAAACATAAAAAAAGAAAATATATTTACTATTCATTAAGTGGAAGTAAATCATTATAAAGGTCTTCATCATTGTCTTCACACTGAGTTGACTGAGGAGGAGAAAAGAGAGGGGTTCTTCTGCTTTCTCAGGGGTGGTAGGGATGGAAGAAAATTTGCAGATAAGTGGACTCCTGCAGTTCAAACTAATGTTCAAGAGTCCCTTGTATATGTAAAATCAGGTATCAACCAACCAATGGAAAGGGTATGCTAAGCAAGGATAAAAATGTATGAATGGTTAGAAGCAAGAATACATAATTCATAAACTGCAAGTACTTCAGAAACCTTTGTGAGGGTTTTTTTATAATTCCCCATAGGTAGAACTGTTGTGGTGTGTGGGTGCATGTTTGCGTGTGTGCGTTTTGCTATAAGATAGGTTAATCTGATTAGCAATATAAAAATGCTGCTTTAATAACAAACAATAGATTGGAGAGACTTACACTTTCAACTAAAATGAAATAATAGAGGCAGAACTTAACCTTTTTCCTGAAACAACCAAAAAATTGATAAACTATATCAAGTGATGGTTTTAAGACAAGGAATTTGAGAAAGCAATGGACAGTTATCCCTGAAGGATGTTAAGCAAATGAAGTGAGGGCTACAATCTGCCAGCTCACTCCAGTGAGAGAGTAGGTACAAGTTAGAGTACAGGTGAGGGAAACCCAGAGAGAGTCCAGGGAATTTTCTGAGTTAAATAAATATAGCCGGCACTCTGAAGAGACCATAAAAAAGGAGTATCAGAGAGAAGAAAGCTATGTAAAGAAAGAACTCTGAATATCCTCAGAGGTTTGCCTTCAAGTAGTCATCTAAGTACTAATCACATATATTTCTGAGGAAAATATGATAGGCTGGGAAATAAATGCCTAAAACAACTAGAGGAAACTGTGTGATTCAAACAACAGGTCCAGAAACAATGCCTGTTATTTCAAGCCAGACTGGAAAGACTGATAATTCCTAAGACATTGGGGAAGCATGCAGATGTGTGTTAATGCAGTAGTAAAGAATAATTAGGATTAGTTTTGTCCCACTCAATAATTATTAAAAATTAGACCTGAAAAGATCACAGCATTTAAAAATAATTTAATTGCATCTGAGAACTAAGCTAATGAATATTTATGGAAATACAAAAATAACCAGCACAAAAGAAGATAGATGTGTAATTTCTAACATCCAATCTAATATCACTAGGTATATAAAGAAGTAAGAAACTATGCAATGTAATGAGTACATCATTAAATCTATTGAAACAAACTGAACAGACGTTAGATTTAGCACATAGAGACTTAAACAGATATAACTATTCTACATGTTAAAAACGTTAAGTAGTGATACTGAAGATATAAAAAAGACCAAAATTCAAAATTATATATGAAAATTTCACTGTCTGAGTTTTTAAAATCTATACTGAATGTGACTGATAGGAGATTGGATATCAAAGATAGAAAGGTTAGTGAATATAAAAATATATCAATAAAAATTGTCAAATGTTAAATAGTGCCAGTTCCCAAACAGCATGATTCAACTTCATGGTATATTAACTGGCAGTAGTTGAATAGAGTACGAACTTTCTTCCAGTTCTTTAGTCCACAAATCACAATATAAATAACAGATTTGGATTATGATTAGTGACCAATTATAGCACTTATTACAAAGTCCACTGGTAATAAGTAACTGCATCTGTTATTTAGTTCCCACACAGGCAGCAAAGCATGAAGTTGTGCTTCTTCCTTGTCTTCATGTGGTAAGTCAGTATGGATAATTAAAATGAAGGATTTGGTTAAAAATTATATATATATATATATATATATATATGTATATACATGCAACAAATAAATGATAAGTGATATATTAGAAATAAAATTTGAATTGAATTAAAATGGAGTTATGGAAATAAATAGCCAGCTGTGGGAGTATTAACACCAACACTGTTCAAGAAAATATAGATGTGTAGCCACAGAAACTGAATGAAGTGAATCTACTTACATAAATGAGGAAAGTGATCAAAATAAAGACAAAGTTGTTGAAGAAGAAGTAACACTGGCAGGAACTTCACATTAAAGGAATTTGGGGGATTGATATCAGCAAGATGGTGGAATAAGAGTTTCCAGTCATGGTCGGGCTCATACCTGTAATCCCAGCACTTTGGGAGGCCAAGGCGAGTGGATCACATGAGGTCAGGAGTTTGAGACCAGCCTGACCAACATGGTGAAACCCCCTCTCTACTAAAAATACAATATTAGCTGGGCATGGTGTGCACACCTGTAATCCCAGCTACTTGGGAGGCTGAGGCAGGAGAATCGCTTGAACTTGGGAGGCAGAGGTTGCAGTGAGCCGAGATTGTGCCATTGAACTCTACCCTGGGCAAAAACAGCGAGACTCTCTCTCTCTCAAAAAAAAAAAAAAAAGAGTTTCCAATCCTCGTCCTCCCACTGAGACTCCAATTGAACAATCATTTACAAACAAAAATACGTTCATGAGAGCTCCAGAATCCAGGTGATCCAGGTGAGAGGATTCTTTACCCAATTAGAGTACAGAAATGATAAAAGATATTGAAGAGGGTAAGAAAAACAGTTTTGCTCACACAATTCCCCCCTCTCAAAAACTCACATAACGCAGTGTCAAAAAAGAAAAAAAAAAGATAACTCTCAGTCCATGAGTTTGTCCGTGAAAGAAAGTGGCAGCAAAGTAAGCATCTGACTTCTCTGCAGATTCTGAAATGAGGGCCACCTTCAGATCTAGACACCAGGCCTGCACCCATGTACCTGACTATAGGCCCACCTGAATAAATTGGCAATAGACCCAGTGTCCCATAGACTCCTCCAGCCAGCTTACCCAGACAATCTGGCTAACCTGACTGGTAAAAAAGGTTTCCCTGCTGAAGCCAGTCTGTAAAGGATGTAAGAGTTAATTACTTCTTCAAATGCATAAATACCAGTGCAAGATAAAGAGTCATAAAGAATGAAGGAGGCATGATGCTACCAAAAAAAAAAAAAAAAAAAAAAAATGAAGCTGCTGTTACTGACCCTAAAAAAAATGGAAATCAAAAAACTGTCAAAAAAGAATTCAAAATAATTGCTTGAAGATAATCAGTGAGCTACAAGATGACAGAAAGCAATGAACAAAATATAATCAGAAAACAATACATGAACAAAATACAAAGTTTATTTTTTTATTTTTATTTGTATTTTCTTAATTTAATTTAATTTTATGTTCCAGGATATATGTGCAGGATATTCAGGTTTGTTACATAGATGAATGTGTGCCATTCTGGTTTGCTACACAATTGACCCATCACCCAGATTTTAAGTCCCACATGCATTAACTATTTATCCTGATGTAGTCCCTCCACCTGCCACCTACAACAGGCCACAGTGTGTGTTGTTCCCCTCCCTATGCCCATGTGTTCTTATTGTTCAGTTCCCACATGTAAGTGAGAGCATGCAGTGTTTGGTTTTCTGTTCTTGTGTTAGTTTGCTGAGAATAATGGCTTCCAGCTTCATCCATGTCCCTACAAAGGACAAGATCTCATTCCTTTTTATGGTTGTATAGTATTCCATGGTATATATGATACCACATTTTCTTTATCCAGTCTATGATTGGTGGGCATTTGGGTTGATTCCATGTTTTTGCTATTGTGAATAGTGCTGCAACGAATGTACATTTGTATGTATCTTTATAATAGAATGATTTATATTCCTTTGGGTATACACCCAGTAATGAGCTCGCTTGGTTAAATGGTATTTCTGGTTCTAGGTCTTTGAAGAATTACCACACTGTATTCCACAATGGTTGAACTAATTTACATTCCCACCAACAGTGTAAAAGCATTCCTATCTCTCCACACCCTTGCCAGCACCTGTTATTTCTTGAATTTTCAATAATTGTTATTCTGACTGGCATGAGATGGTGTCTCGTTGTGGTTTTGATTTGCATTTGTCTAATAATCAGTGATGTTGAGCTTTTTTTCATGTTTGTTGGTCACATAAATATCTTCTTTTGAAAAGTGTCTGTTCATGTCCTTCATCTACTTTTTAATGGGGCTGTTTTTTCTTGTAAATTTGTTCAAGTTTCTTGTAGATTCTGGATGCTAGACCTTCATCACATGGATAGATTGCAAAAATTTTTTCCCATTCTGTAGATTGTCTGTTCACCCTGATAATAGTTTCTTTTGCTGTGCAGAATCTCTTTAGTTTAATTAGATCCCATTTGACAATTTTTGCTTTTGTTGTAATTGCTTTTGACGTTTTCATTATAAAATCTTTGCCCATGCCTATGTCATGAATGGTATTGCCTAGGTTTTCCTTCAGGGTTTTTAGAATTTGGGGTTTTACATTTAAGTCTTTAATCCATCTTGAATTAATTTTTGTATAAGCTGTAAGGAAAGAGTCTAGTTTTAATTTTCTACAAATGGCTATCCAGTTTTCCCAGAACCATTTATTAAATAAGGAATCTTTCCCCATTGCTTGCTTTTGTCAGGTTTGTCAAAGATCAGATTATTGTAGATGTGTGGTTCTATTTCTGAGATCTCTATACTGTTTCATTGGTCTATGTGCCCATTTTGGTACTAGTACCATGCTGTTTTGGTTACTCTAGCCTTGTAGTGTAGTTTGAAGTTGAGTAGCTTGATGCTTCCAGCTTTGTTCTTTTTGCTTAGGATTGTTTTGGCAATATGGGCTCTTTTTGGTTTCCATGTGAATTTTAAAGTAGTTTTTTCTAGTTCCATAAAGAATGTCAATGGTAGTTTAATGGGAATAGCATTGAATCTATAAGCTACTTTGGGCAACATGGCTACTAAATGTGAAATTTAATACAGGGGTAGGACCAAGCAAAAATTCTAGAGCCAAAGAATATGATTATTGAACTAAAAAAAATCGTTGAGTGTTCAACAACCAATCCAATCAAATAGAAGAAATAACTGGTAAGCTAGAATACAGGTCATTTGGTATTACCCAGTAAAAGGAACAAAAATTAAAATGAAAAACAGTAAAGAAAGCCAATGAGACTTATGGAAAACCATCAAATGAACTAATCAATATATGCATGATTGAAGTCTAAGAAGGGAGGAAACAGAAAGAGGAAGAAAGCTTATTTTAAAAAATAACTCAAACATCCAGAGAGGGAAATGAACATACAGATTCAAAGATCCCAAAGTATCCCCAAATAATCTGATTACAAATAAATTCACAGCAAAGCAAAAATTATAATCTTATTTTCCAGTCTAAGACAGAGAATTTAAAAGTAGCATGAGAAAACTGACTCATTACATAAAAGATAATTTACCTAAACCTAAAAGTGAATTTCTCAGCAGAAACCTTGCAACCCAGAGAATGACATATTCAAATTGGTGAAAGAACAACAAAAAATGCCATACAAGAAAACTTTACCCAGCAAAACTGTCCTTTAAAAATAAAGAAGAAATCAATACTTTCTAGACAAAAACAAAGACAGTTCGTCACCATTGTATCAGCCTTACAAAGAGTGCTGAAGTGAGATCTTCAAGTTGAAACAAAAGGATACTGTACAGCAACACAAAAGCATATTGGAGTATAAGTATCATTGGTCAAGGTAATTATATACATAAATACAGAAACTATAATAACACAACATTTTAAGAACATTATAACAATATAACATTATAACAATATAACATTGTTATAACGATATAACATTGTTATATCGATATAACATTATAACAATAGAACATCGTTGTAACGATATAACATTATAACAATAGAACATCGTTGTAACGATATAACATTATAACAATAGAACATCGTTGTAACGATATAACATTATAACAATAGAACACCGTTGTAACGATATAACATTATAACAATAGAACACCGTTGTAACGATATAACATTATAACAATAGAACATCGTTGTAACGATATAACATTATAACAATAGAACATCGTTGTAACGATATAACATTATAACAATAGAACATCGTTGTAACGATATAACATTATAACAATAGAACATCGTTGTAACGATATAACATTATAACAATAGAACATCGTTGTAACGATATTACATTATAACAATAGAACATTGTTGTAACGATATAACATTATAAAAATAGAACATTGTTGTAACGATATAACATTATAACAATAGAACATTGTTATAAAAACATAACATTATAACAATAGAACATTGTTATAACAATAGAACATTGGTGTATAATATAAGACAGTGGTGCATAAATCACTTTTAACCCAAATATTAGTTTTAGTAGACATAGTATTAAGAACAGATACAACCACAACAAACGATGTAAAAAGAAGTAAATTCTGACATCGATAATACCAAGTGGATGCTTCGAGAATGAAACTGGAGAGTTTTTGTGTGTGATTAAAGTCAAGTTGTTAGCAGTTCAAAATAGACTGCTCTAATAATAAGAAGTAAGCAAGCCTCATGGTAACTGTACACAAAAAGAAAATGTATAGCAGACACAAAAAAAGATTAAGATAAAAGAATCAAAATATATTACTCCAAAAAATTATCAAATCACAAAAGAAGACAGCAAGAGGGAACAAAGAACTGCAAAACAAACAGAAAAAAACAAGATGATAATAGCAAATCCTTATCTATAAATGATTAGTTTAAATGTAAATGGATTAAACTCATTGAATAAAGAACATAAATTAGAAGAACAGATAAAAACAAAACAAAACAACATTCAACTATCTACTGCCTGCAAGACACCCACTTTAGATTTTGAGATACATATAAGCTAAAAAATGTAATGATGATGAAAGACATTCCTAGAAAATGGCAACCAAAAAAGGGGGTGGCTGGACTTTTATCAGATAAATTAGACTTTAAGTCAAAAACTGTCACAAGAGGCAAATAATGTCATGACATAATGGTAAAAAAGTAACTTCCATACAAATATATAACAATTATAGATATAAATGCATCCAATATCTGAAGGAAGAAATAGCATTACAACAGTAGGAGACTTCAATATCACATTTATAATAATGAGCAGATCAACCAGACATAAAATCAATAGGGAAATACCAGACTTGAACAACATTGTGGACCAAATGGACCTCACAATCATATACAGACCATTTCACCCAACAGCAGCTAAATACACATCTTTCGCAAGTTCACATGGAACATTCTCTAGAATAAATAATATGTGAGATCACAAAATAAATTCTAACAAATTAAAAAAGTCACTGACTATCCTTTCTAACAACTGTAATATAAAACCACAAATCAGTAACAAAAGGAAAATTGAAAAAATTACAAATGCATAAATACAACAAAGTATTGAACAGCCATTGGGTCAAAGAAAATATCAAAAGAGAAATTAAAACTATATCAAGATAAATGAAAATAAAAATACAACATAGCAAATTTTGTGAGATGCAGTAAAAGCAATTTTAAGAGGAAAGTTTATAGTAATAAATGCCTACATTGCATATACAACCTAACATTACATCTCAAAGAACTAGAAAAAGAACAAGAATAACAAATCAAGCCCAGATATAGCAGAAGGAAGGAAATAATAAAGATTGCAGCATAAATAAACAAAATAGACACTAGGAAAACAATAGAAAATACTGAACAAAAATTCATTGTTATTTGAAAAAATAAACAAAAATGACAAATAGTTTGCTAGACTAAAAGAAGACAGAAGATACAAATAAAATCAGAAATGAAGAAAAATATTATAACCAATGCCATATATAAAGCAGATCACAGAGAATATTATGAAAAATTTTACATTAAAAATTGTACAAAATTGTTAAAAACATACAACCTACCAAGACTGAATCAATGAAAAATAGGAAGCTTAAATAGATCAATTAGAAATTAAAAAAAACTGAATTGGTAATTAATACCTTTCCAAAGAGAAAAAGCCCAGGGCCAGATGGCTTCACAGATGACTTCTGCCAAACCCTTACAGAAGAATGAATGCCAATACGTCTCAAATTCTTTAAAAAATAGAATAGGTAATTTTCTCAACTGTTTTTATGAGGTCTGCATTACTCTGATACAAACACTAGAAAAAGACACTATAAGAAAAGAAAACTGTAGACCAAAATGCCTGAGGAATATGGTTGCAAGTATCCTCCACAATATTAGAAAAGCAAATTCAACCACATAGTAAAGCCCATTTATGCCTAGTGTTCCCTTTATTGGAACACTAAGCATGTGCGAGTTATTTATATCCTACTGCTCAAGGTCATAGCCAAGGTCTGATTGCAAAAATTCAAAAAATTGCAACCTCAGGCATAAATCGATTAAAAGCATCATACACCATGACCAAGTGAAACTTATCCCTGTGCTATAAAGATGGTTTATCACATGCAAATTTATCAATGATACACCAAATTAAAAGATTGATGGATAAAAATCAAATGGCCATCTCAATAGATGCAGAAAAAAGCATTTAATTCAACACCCTTTCGTGATAAAAATTCTCAACAAAATAGGTATAGAAGGAACTTGTCTCAACAAAATAAAGGCCATTTGTGAAAAGCAGACCTCTCACATCACACTCGGCAATGCAAAAATGAAAAATTTTCCACTAAAGTCTGGGATCTTAGCAAGGCAAGGATGCCCACTTTCACAACTTCTAATCAACAAAGTACAGGAAACTAGAGCAATGAGGCAAAAAATAAATAAAAGGTATAAAATAAGAAAGGAAAAAGTGAAATTTTCTTAGTTTACAGATGACATAATCTTACATGCAGAAAACCCTATAGATTACACATACAACCAGATAGAACTAATACACAAATTCAGCAGTTGTATAAAAGGATCAACATACAAAAATCAGTTGTGTTTTTATACATTAATAATGAATTATCCAATAAGAAATTAATAAAATAATTTCATCCACAATAACATCAAAAAGAATAAAATATCTAGAAAAATTTTAAGCGAAGGTGATAAAAGACTTGTATATCGAAAACTAAAAATCACTGATTAAAAAAATTAAAGCAGACACAGGTAAGTGGAAAGACATCCCACATTCATGGACTGGAAAAATTAATATTGCTAAAATGTCCATACTATTAAAAGTGATCTGCAAATTTAATGTAATCTCTACCAAAAGTCTCAGTGGCATTTTTGTCAAAAATTTTTTTAAAATCATGAAATTCATATCGAATCACAAAGACACCAAACAGCCAAAGCAGTATTGAGTAAGAACAAAGCTGGAGACATCACATTCTTGATTTCAAATTATATTACAAAGCTAAAGTAATTAAAACAATACAGCACTGGCATAAAAACAGACATATAGACTAACACAACAGAATAGAAAGCCCCAAAATAAACCCACTTATAGGTAATTAACTGATCTTTGACCAAAATGCCAAGAATATGCAATGAGGAAAGGATAGTCTCTTCAATAAATAGTGTTGGGAAAACTAGATATCCACATGCAAAAGAAGGCTATTTGACCCTCATTTTTATCCCATTAGTAAAAATAAACTCAAAATGAATTAGACATTTAAAGCATAAGATCTGAAACTGTAAAAGTCCTAGAGAAAAAAAAAAACAGATAAAATCTTTACAACATTGGGCTTGGCAATGATTTTGCCCATGACACCAAATCATAGGCAACAGAAATACAAAGTTATAAGTGGGATTACATTAAAGTAAAAAACCTCTGCTCCAAAGGGTGCAATCAACAAAATAAAAAGGCAACCTACAGAATGGGATAAAATATTTGGAAAAAATCTAACTGACAAAGTATTAACATCCATAATTTATAAGGAACTCCTACAAATTAATAGCAAAACAAAACAAATTACTAAAAATGAGCAAAAGAACTGAACAGACATTTCTCCAGATATATGAATTGTCAATGGTTATATTAAAAGGTGCTCAACATGACAAATAAGCAAGGAAATATAAATCAAGATCGAATTGAGATACCACCTCACACCTGTTAGAATGTCTGTTACAAAAAATAAAGTAACATGTTGGCAAGAATGTAGAGAAAGAAGGACCCATGTACACTGTTGGTGGGAATGTAAGTTGGCACAGCTAGTACAGAAAACAGTATGGAGGTCTCTCAGAAAATTAAAAATATAATTACTGTATGTTTTGTCAATCTCACATCTGGGTACATATCCAAAGGAATTGAAATCAGAATCTTTAAGAGATATCTGCACTCACATGAACACTGCAGTATTATTTACAATAGTTAAGACATGAAAGGCACATAAATGTCCACTGATGAATGAATAAATAAATGTGGTCTATATATATGCAATGGGATATTCAGCCATTAAAAAGAAGGAAATCCCTTCATTGGTGACAGCATGAATGAATCTCAAGGACATCGTACTAAGTGAAACAAGCCAGACGCAGAAGCAGAAGGAGATGGGAAGGAATTTAGGAAGGCTTTCAGACTTCTTGGATTTTACAGGATGAGATCATAATGTTATTCACCTGTGAATGTGTACTATTTCTCAAGACAATAAATGTTTGAAGCCTCCCAGTCTGTGGTACTTTGCTGTGGCAGTCGTTAAAAACTCATATTGTACCCATTCTAAATCACAAAAGGAATAAATTTTTTTTTTTTTAAATGAAGAGTGATCAGCCAGGCGTGGTGGCTCATGCCTATAATCCCAGGACTTTGGGAGCATGAGGCTGGTGGGTAATTTGAGGTCAGGAGTTCGAGACCAGCCCGGCCAACATAGTGAAACCCCATCTCTACTAAAATTACAAAAATTATCCTGGTGTGGTGGCACATGCCTGTAATCCCAGCTACTCTGGAGGCTGAAGCAGGAGAATCAGTTGAACATGGGAGGAAGAGGTTGCAGTGAGAAGAGATTGTACCATTGTACACCAGCCTGAGTGACAGAAGGAAACTGTCTAAAAAAAAAAAAAAAAGAAGAGTGATTCAGGGACCTCTGGGCCAACAACAAACAGATAACATTAATGCCATCAGAGTTTCAGATTTAAAGGGGGCAGAAGGCAATTCTGAAAAAAATGTTTGAAGAAAAAATGGCAGAACAGTCTCAAGCTTGGCAAATGTCATTGCTATGAACTGAATGTTTATGCCCCCCATGGCAATTTGGTGATATGTGGGGCCTGTAGGAGATGATTATGCCTTGAGAGTAGAGCTCACCTGATGGGATCAGTATCCTTACATAAAGAGACCAGAGAAAGCTTACTTGCTCTTTCTCCACTCTTCACCATGTGAGAATACAATGAGAACACAAACATCTGCAAATAAGAAAAGGTGCCCTCAGCAGTTACCATGTATGTCAGCACCTTGATATTGGACTTCCTAGCCTCCAGAATTGTGAGAAATAAGTGATCGTTGTTTAAGCCACACAGTCTATGGTATATTTGTTATAGCAGTCCAAACTGACAAAAACAGAAATTGGTACTGTGAGTGGGAGTGCTAGTAAAACAAATACTTGAAAATGTGCAAGCAGTTTTGGAACTGGGTAGTGGGTAGGGTAGAGGCTGGAAGAGTTTTAAAGTTCATGTTAAAGGAAGCTGAGATTATCACGAAGGATATTTAAAGGTGAACTTAGGGAGAACTCAAAAAAGAAAAAGTGTAGCTGTCAAGAAAGCATCTGTCTTTTTTGAGAATCCATAACTAATAATGTACTGAATATTGGTAGAAATATAGACAGTACAGGCCATTTTGACAGGATCTGAGAAAGAAATGAGAAATATGTCATTGGACAGTGGAGAAAAAGATGATCCTTGTAATGTGGTAATAAATTTGTCTTACTTGTGTTTGTGGTCTACTGTGTTGTGGGAGAACTTGCAAGCAATGAAATTAGACATTTAGCTGAGAAGATTTCCAATTAAACTGTTGAAGGAGTATTTGGTTCCTGCTGACTGCTTATAGTAAATGCAAGAGGAGATAAGTGACTTGAAGATGGAATTATTAAACAAAAAGGAACTGGAATGTAAAAATTTGGGAAATTCTCAGTATATCTTTTTTATTTTCACTTTAAGTTCCGGGATACATACACAGAACGTACAGGTGTGATACACAGGTATACATGTGTCATGATGGTTTGCTGCACGTATCAACCCATCACCTAGGTTTTAAGCCTCGCATACATTAGCAATCTGTCCTGATGCTCTCCCTCCCCTTCCACCCCTAACAGGCCCCCTTGTGTGTTGTTCCCCTCCCTGTGTCCAAGTGTTCTCGTTGTTCAACTCAACACTTATGAGTGAGAACATGCAGTGTTTGGTTTTCTATTCCCATGTTAATTTGCTAAGGATGATGGCTTCCAGTTTCATTCATGTCCCTGCAAATGACATGATCTCATTCCTTTTTGTGGCTGCATAGTATTCCATGGTATATGTGTAACACATTTTCTTTATCCAGTCTATCATTGATGGGCATTTGGGTTGATTCCATGTCTTTGCTATTGTGAATAGTGCCACAATAAACGTATGTATGCATGTATCTTTATAACAGACTGATTTATATTCCTTTGGGTATATACTCAGTAATGGATTACTAGGTCAAATGGTATTTTTGGTTCTAGATCCTTGAGGAATTGCCACAGTGTCTTTCACAATGGTTGAACTAATTTACATTCCCACCAACTATGTAAAAGCATTCCTTTTTAAAAATTAACTCAAGATGAATTAAAGACTTCAATGTAAAACCCAAAACCATCAAAATCCTAGAAGAAAACCTAGACAATACCATTCAGGACATAGGCATGGGCAAAGATTTTATGATGAAATCACCAAAAGCAATTGCATCAAAAGCTAAATTTCACAAATGCGATCTAATTAAACTAAAGAGCTTCTGCACAAAAAAAGAAACTATCGTCAGAGTGAACAGCCAACCTACAGAATGGGAGAAAAATTTTGCTATCTATCCATCTGGCACAGGTGTAATATCCAGAATTTATGGGTAACTTAAAAAACTCATAAGAAAAAAACCAAAGAACTCCATCAAAAAGTTGGCAAAGGAATATGAACAGACACTTCTCAAAAGAAGACATTTATGCAGCCAACACACATACGATAAAAAGCTCAACATCTTTGATCATTAAAGAAATGCAAATCAAAACCACAATGAGATCATCTCATGCCAGTAAGAATGGCAATTATTAAAACTCAGAATTATTTTTCAAATAATATGTTCAGAAGAGAACACTAAGGGTTTGGCAAAGCAACAGTTTGATAAGATAGATTGTATAGGTGTGAATCACAAACTTAAATCAGACACCTCATCAACTGCCAGTTTGAACTGAAGCAGAAGGAGATGGGAAAGAATTAAGGAATGCTCTCAGACTTCTTGAATTTTACAGGATGGGACCATAGAGCTTTTCATCTTTGAACGTGTACTGTTCTCCAAGACAAGGGAAGCATGGCTGCTAAGAAGATTCAGAGATCATTAGAGGTGCTGCCTCTGTTTCAGAGGGGCCACCGTTACCTTGCTTTTTAATAAGCCAGATGCTTTCAGCAGGCCAGATAGACACCACTCAGAGTTTTGGGGGTGCAACCCCTTCCCAGCCCCAGTGGGTGCAGGTGGGACCACCACCCCAGTAGGTCCTGGGGGTGGTACTTTTGTCCCCACTGGTTTTGAAAGGCAGAGATTCAAGCCAAGGAGGATTATTTTCATAGCCTAAGATCTAATGGGATTTTACTTACTAGGTTTCGGGCTTGCTTGGGACCCATCACCAACTTCTTCCTTTCTTCCTTTTTACTTTTCCCTTTTAGAATAAAGATGCCTGTCCTATACTTGTCTTACCATTGTATTTTGGAAGCACATAGATGTTTCAGTTGCACAAGTTTGCAGCCCAAGAGATATTTTGTCTCAGAACAAATTGTACCTTGAATCTCGCCCTTATCTGATTTAGATGATATTTAGATGAAACTTTGGACATTAGACTTCAGAGTTGGTGCTGCAATTAGTTATTAGTATTGGGTTTGTTGGGATAGAATGAATGTACTGTGCATGTAAAAGGACATGAACTTTCGGGGTCTTGGTGCAGAATGTTATGGACTGAATATTTGCATTCCTTCAAAATGCATATGTTGACACCAAATCACCAATGTGATGGTATTAGGAAGTGGGGCCTTTGAGCAGTAGTTAGGTCATGAGGATGGAGCTTCCTCTCTGTTCTCCACCATGTGAGAATACAGATGGCTGAGAAAACAGCCATCAGCTGTCAGAAAACCAGAAAGAATGCCCTCAGCAGACACTAGATCTGCCAGCAACTTAATATTGGATTTCCCAGCCTCCTGGGAAGATAAATGTATATACTTTAAGCCACCCATCCTGTAAGATATTTGTTATAGAAGGCTGAAATGACTGAAACAGATGTAAACCTACCTATTCAAGAGCAGAATGAACCACCAACAGGAACCATGCACAGGAACCTAGCAATCAACCTGTTGGAAACTCAAGAAAAATAAAAATTTTGAGAGCAGTTGGATAAACAAGGCACATTTTCTGTACGAAACAATTCAAACTATTTCAAATTTCTAATCAGAAATCATGGAGGCTAGAAGGATGGCACAATATTATTAAATTGTTGGAAGGGAAGAACTGACAGCCCAGAATTATATAGTCAGTGAAAACATCATTCAACAATGAAAGTAAAATAAAGAAATTCTCAGATGAAGGAAAACAAAGCGGGTTTGTAGCCAGCTGATGTATTCTGAAAGATTTTCCAAAGGAATCTTTTCTGGCAGAAGGAAAAGTTACCAGAAGGAAACTTGTAACATCCAAAGTCATAAAAACGAGAAACAGAAATAGTAAAATTGGTTACTTATAATAGATATTCTCGTTCTATTTAGTTCTTTAAAATAAGTTTGTCAGTAGAAAGCAAAATTCATCAAATTTTCTTAGTTTTCAGTGTATGTGGATAACATATATGTAATATATAAATATATATTTCATTTGAAGATGAAAGAGGGAAGAGGTCTCTGAGGTAAGGTTTCTACATTCCAATTTGAAGTGGTAAAATATTGATTCTAGGTAGAACGTGAAGGTTAGTTATATGTTTTTAATCTCTAGATCAACTCCTTCAGAAAAACTTTTGGAAGAGACATAGCCAAAGTTGCAATTAATAAATTAAAATGGGCCAGGCTCTGTAGCTCATGCCTATAATCTCACACTTTGGGAGGATGAGGCGGGTGGATCACTTGAGGTCAGGAGTTCAAGACTAGCCTGGCCAATATGGTGAAACCCCATCTCTACTAAAAATATAAAAATTAGCCAGACTTGATGGCACATGCCTGTAATCCCAGCTACTCAGGAGGCTGAAGCAGGAGAATCACTTGAACATGGGAGGAAGAGGTTGCAGTGAGAAGAGATCGTACCAGCTACTTGGGAGGCTGAGGCAGAAGAATTGCTTGAACCCAGGAGATGGAGGTTACAGTGAACTGAGATCATGACCCTGCACTCCAGCCTGGGTGACAAAGGGAGACTTTATCTCAAAATAAATAAATAATAATTATAAATAAAAATGGAATACTGAATAAATGTCTAGTAACCCAACAGTAGGAAGAAGGCCAGCATAAATAATCAATCTATTAAAATAATAACCTACTGCATGGATAAGATCTCAATATCAAACTTATTTTAAGACTACTGTAACTAAGACATGGTGGCATTTTTCTGCAGCAGTAAACCAATCAAGCAATAGAATGGAGTGGAGATTACAAAAATATACATTCCCACAGATGAACACTTGATTTAAAACTAAATTGACACTGCAGAGTAATAAAGACAAAATTTATGTTTTAATTTAATATTGAATTTATTGAATATCAGCATCAAAATTAATAAAAATGATACCTATTTTATACCATAAGAAGTCAATTTTGGATCAATTTTTATCAAAATGTCAATGTAGAAAATAAAATTCTAGAAAAATACTATAAGCAGCTCTATATTCTTGGTATAGAGAAATATTCTCCAGATAAGACACAAAAACATTCATCATAATTGAAAATATTGATAAATTCAACTACATTAAAATTAACAACCATAGTTTCTCAAAATACATCATTTTGAGAAGGAAATGGCAAGCTATACAGTGAGAGACTATGTCTACCAATCTTATAACCATCATAAAATTTGTGTCTGGAACATATGGATAACTTCTAAAAATAAATTACTCAAAAATCAACAACACAAGAGACAAATGGTCAAAGTATGCTGAAATGTTGCATAAAATAGATAGTATATGAATGGTAAATGAAAATGTGAAAGGTGTTCTAGCTCATAAGTATTATCAGAAATGAAGGTTTAAACCACAGTAAGATTTTCACTGCCACCTTTCATGGTATGCCTTGTGGAAGACCAATGCTCCAGTTTGAGAATAGCTAAATAAAGAATTTTACACACACATATATTCTCTTTATAATTATATTTAATTTGTTTAAAATCTTGGAACATGCCAAGGCACCAAGGACTTGAGGAGCAAAAGCATAGAAGGAAACAGAGCCTTCTGAACACTGCTTATTCCTCCCACCACATGTGGTTCTTGGAGCAAGGAGGCAGGCCAGAATTGTCCAGAAAGTCCAGGTATCTCTCAGAGCTTCAGGCAATATCATGGAGGCATAAAGGAAAATAAATTAGGGTTTCATTCTGTCAAGGCAGATAGAACATGAGGGCCCAGGATCCTAAGGAGAAAGAGGGCTGAAAAGAAGTGCTACCAACACTCACCACCTATTTTCCCTTGAGATGATCAATCAGCCTTCCATGCCAAGAAACAAAAAATTCAAGCACAGTGACTGAATAGCAAGCAGAGATTTTAGCAACCTCATGCTGATGGTGGACAGAATTGGAATTCAGGAGCCATCAAAGGAGAGGAATCGTAGAAAAGGCCACAGGAACTCAGTTGGGACCCCTGGAGCACCAGATTCTAGGAGTGGGGGTAAACCAGAAGTAAAACAAGTCATGAAAAGCCAGCAAGCTAACCCTAAATGGGCTCCTGGACTGTATTGGATGGAGATATTTTGCCTCTTTGCTGCCTACCAGAGGAATTCTATTCCCAGAGATAATAATCTTCAAATGTGAAAGCACCATAGACTTTTAATGGGAATGATTTACATGAGCATGAAAACAGAAACCATGATGGTAGACTTAAATACAAATATAATAGTAATTACTTTAAACTTAAATACATAAAAAGCTCCAATTGAAAGACAATTGCTAGGCAGATTAAAAGACCAGATCTTGTGCTTACAGAAGACATGTTTAAACAAAGTTTGAAAGTAAAGGTTGAGAAAAAATATCTTACGCAAACATTAACCAAAAGGACTGCTGTAAATATATTAGTAAGATTACGGGAAAACATATTACTGAGACATAAGGAGGGACATTTCAAAATAACAAAAGGGTCAACTAAATAGGGAGGTATTAAAATCTTAAAATCCCCTGCATCTATTAACATTGCTTGAAAATATGTAAAACAAAGTTGAGAAATGAACAAATTCATAGCCATCACTTGAAAATTTAATAAACTGGTCTCAAGAACAGAAAAAGCAAAACAAATCAGTAGAGTTATTGAAACTATAAAGAAAAGTGTTAATAAACTTGATTAACTTGGTATATATATGGAACATGTCAACCAACAACTTCAGAAATGTATTATTTTCAAGTGAAAATGGAAAATTTACAAAATCCATCATATGCTTTGCCTTAAAGCAAGTCATGAGAGATTTCAGATGATTCAATTGAAGTGAGTTTGCTATCTAATCACTTTGGAAATAAGGTAGGCAGAAATTTATAACTAAAGGAAAACTAGAAAATTCCTAAATGTTTGGAAACAAAACAATAAATCAATACTAAATACTCATAGGTCAAAGAAATTAGCTTAAAAATAAACTAAACAAATTAAACACAATGTAATAGAAGAAAGGAAGCTATGGCAATAAGAGTAGAAATCAATAGAAACATATGCACATTTAAGAAAAGTTAACAAAGTCATAATTTAGTCCTTTGAAAAGAACTTAATGGTGAAATACTGAAAATGTTTCCCTTGAGATCAGTACCTATAAAATATATCCACTATAAATTCTTCTTTTCCTCTTGTACTACACCTTCTAGAATGTGAAATAAGGCAAATAAAAAATATGACAACATACTTGTATGTGGAATATGCAACATACTCTTCAGTTAAACTATTAGAATTTAGTAAGTGGCTTTAGCGGTTCAGTTTATACGAGATCAATACACACACAAACACACACATCAATTTTGCCTCTTTATGCCAACACTAACATGCTGGGAACTGAAATTGAGGGAAGAAATCACTTATGAATGGATTAATCAACATCAAATACTTAGGAATAAATCAAATAAAGATTTGCATAACCTCTACATAGAAGATGGAACTCAATGGACGGACATATCATATTTGTGGACTGGAAACCTCAATATGGCATTTTGAAAATGACAGTTCTCATCAAATTGATGTATAGATTAGATGTAATCCCAATGACTGTCTTGGCAACCTGTATGTATCTGTGCATATAAACTGGCAAGCTACAATAACTCTAAAATTTGTATCATAATGCATAGAGTCAGTAAGAGACAAGACAGTCTCGGAAAACAACCAAGCTAGAAGACTTATACTACTAAAGAGCAATACTTATTATAAACTGTCGTAATTCAAACACTGTGATGTTGGTGAGAGAATAGACAAGTGTACCAATAAAAAAGAATAGGGCTCCAGAAACAGAGCGACACAATGTCACTTGGTATATGATAAAAATAAAACTGCATAATGGATGGTCTTATCAATACCAACACTGGATTAATTCCCCAGTTATAGGAGAAATAAATTTTGATTAAACAGCCAAAAATCTAGTCTAGATGAATTTGATTATTAAAATCTAGTTATAAAGGTAAAACAAGCCTCTAGAAGAAAACAAAGAACACCTTAGTGTTGTTCATGTAAGCAAGATTTATATAGGAAAATATAAAGTGGAAACCACACAAAAGCTGGAAAAATAAACAAAATTAAAATTATGAATATGTTTATGAAAAACACAAGACAGTTCAAAGAAAACCCTCTGATTAGAGGAATTATTTGTAACACATAGTCTTTGAAATTGTTTTAGTAGCTATTTAGAAACACTACAAGCATATTTATATACTTTATGATTTTATAATGAAAGAATTTAGGGATATTAATTCACTCACAAGTACCCAGCATAATTTTATTTATTTTAATATTTTCTAGAGAGTCTACGAATAGAGACACTATTTCCTCTCTGACAATATTCTTATGGTTGTGTTTATTGATTTCTAAGTAATTCATAATTTCAACTATTTGCTGTATATTTCTAAATACACTTCTAGTTGTATTCATTTTGTTAAACAAGATATCCAGTACAATTATTGTTCTTCAAAATTAATAAGGTTACCTTTGGAGAACTATTACATAATGCAGTTGTCATATATTTATTGTATTTGCCTTAAAAGGAAATTTTACAGCATCTTATTAGCTAACCAAAATTTTTTAAATTAATTATACAAATTTTATAAATTATATATAGTTATTAATAATCATTCAATTTTCTCTTCAAGTCCTCTATATTGCTGTATTTCTGTTTCTTTCCTCTGGCAAAAGTCTATAAATTACAATGTTTGGGACCCAAATGTTCTGGATTTTTATAACTTTTTGTGATAATTTTTGGCTTATTAAAAATAAACTGTTTCTACAATTTCATGCTTGCTGTCTTCTAATTTTATTTTGTCTCATTTAATTTTCTTTCTTTATGTTTCCAGAACTCACTTCTTTCATGGGGAATTCTGTTCCGCCATTCTACACATTTATTTGTTAGGAAACAATTCTTCTTAGGTCTCCGGTGTTTCTGCACATCATGTACCAGCTTTTGTTCCAGAATGTCTTTGCAAAGATGTTTGGGTAGCATATATCTTTGAAGACAGAAATAGTGTTTCCCTTCAGAATAGAGGGCAAATTTGTTTGCCTTTCAAGATACTTAAAATTTCTTTCTCCAGGACAAATTCTGGGTAGGTGTGCTTGCACTTCCTTTAAGAATTGGCTTTGCCCAAGCCTGGGGATCATCGTACATGATGTACACCCAGTGTGTGTGCAGCAACCTTCGGAGCTTTGGTGCCAAAGGGAACTGATACAAATATGAATCTCAGAAAATTCCATTCACAGTGGCTTCAAAAATAATGAAAGATTTAGAAATACATTTAGCAAAAGAAATACAAAACTAATAATATGAAAACTACAAAATGTTGTTAACAGAAAATAAAGATGATCTAAATAAATGCAAAAACATCGTACGTTCAGAAATTGAAGACTTAATATTTTTAAATGGCAAAAAATCACTAAGCCGATCTACAGATTTACCACCGATGCTGTCAGAATTCCAGCTTTCTTTCTTGTAGAAATTGACAAGCTGATTCTAAAATTCATACAGAATTGCAAAGGACTCAGAACAGCCAAAATAATCCTGTAAAAAGAAGAATAAAATAGGAGACATAAGTGGAAGAGCTAAAACTTTAAAATGCTTGGGACAAAAACATGGGCATAAATATTTATGATCTTGGATTTGGCACTGGATATACCTAGATATGACATGAAAGGTCCAAGAGATGAAAGAAAGAAGAGAAAAGATAAATTTGACTTCATCAAAATTTTAGAAATTGTTCATCAAAAGATCTTAAGATCATCTTAATGATGCTGGTGTAGGCAAGATTTATATTAATGTAATATAATATATAATATTATATATAATATAGATATATTACATTAATATAAATCTTGCCTACACCAGCATCATTAAGATGATCTTAAGATCTTTTGATGAACAATATTTAATATTATATATATTATATATAATATATTATATAATATAGATATGTATTATATCTATATATAGATTTAAGTTATGTAATTCAATAAATGTAATATGTAGATTTTTGCCAGAGGAAAGAAACAGAAATACAACAATACAGATGACTTGAAAAGAAAATTGAATAACTATGAATAAATATATATAATAATTTATAAACTGTATAACTAATATAATAAATGTTGATTAGCTAATTAAACTACCATAATAGTTTCTTTTAAGGCAAGAAAGTGATTCTTCAAGATCCTTCAAGTGATCCTATCTCCATCAAGAAAATGAAAACACAAACCACGGAATGGTAGAAAATATTTGTTAATCATATATCTAAGAAACTTGTGTCTAGAATACATAAGGAACACTTACAAGTCAATAATAAAAAAAAGCCCCATTTAAAAATGAGCAAAATACTTTAGCCATTTCTCAAATGAAAATAAACAAAAGATGGTCAACATCACTAGTTTTGAGGGAAATACTAAAAAACAAAAACCACAGTGAAATACTATTTCACACCATTAGGATGACTAGGATCAAGAACACAGATCATAACAAGGATTGGTGAGAGCGTGGAGAAATTGGAACCCTTACACACTGTTGGTGGGAATGTAAGTGGTGCAGTCACTTTGGAAAACAGTCCGGCTGTTACTCAAACAATTAAATACAAAGTTACCATATGACCCAGCAATTCAACTCCTAGGTATATAACCAAGATAAATAAAAATTAATATCTATATAAAAGCTACACAAAAATGGTCATTAATCATAGTAGCCAAAAAGTAGAAATAACTCAAATGTCCATTGACAGATATATGGATAAACAAAATGTAATATAGCCATACATTGGAATATTATTTGGACGTAAAAATAAAGTATTAACACATGCTACAATATGGGTGAAACTCAAAAGCATTACGCCAAATGAAAGAAGTTAGTCAAAACTTTTACAAACTATTATTTCATTCACATCGAAGTAAAAAACAGGGAAATCTATAGAGACAAAAAGTAGATTAAATGCTTTCTTAGGGCTAAGGGAAGGGGAATAGACAGTTGGAGGAATGGACATCTAAACGTTTCAGAGATTTTTTTAAGGAAACGAAAATCTAAAATTGACTGTGAAGATGGTTGCACATATCCGTGAATATATTGAAAAATATTCCTTTGTACACTTTAAGTGCGTGAATTATATGGTTTGCAAATTCTGTCTCAATAAATCTATTTTTACAAAACATAAAGCTCAGGCTGCATGCTGCACCACTAGTAACAATGTCCTTTGTTTTTACTCTGGAAACTTATGTCTTTTGCCAGCATCCATGAGTCTGTGGCAGCCTGACCCTCATAAGTAGGATAAAATCTCAGAGCCTTCACCTTTCTTAATAATATTTCCTTAAGAAATTTTCAACATTTCAACACTTCTGCCTTCTCTGAGCGGAATCATCTTGGGTGGAAACCTGGCTGGAGTCAGGACAGTGAACTTTCCCTGTACTCTGGAGCTTAAGCCTGTGCTAAAGCTGTACGATGTAAATTTAGAAACTTTCAGGGGCTACATTTAACTGATTGTGGAATAAAAATTAGTTTTTAATGAGAAAGAAGAGAGCTAAAAGAAAATAATCAATATTGTAGTGTTCCTGAAGTCCAGTCTGAACCTGGCCCTTCCTATCTATGGCTTGGCTGTTCCATGGAAATACCCCACATTCTTCCAATAACTACATATTTTTGCTTCATGTAACTACTAAAAGAACCTGTACTATTTTAATTTTAAGCAATTATTTTAAATTAAGTGAAAAAAATTACATATCCTTTTCTTCATCATCATCCTATACTTTGCCAAGGCATTGCCTTTTTTTAAACATTTTATTTATATGTGTTATTCTAAATGTAATAGTTGTTATTTTGTTCAATTTTATTATCAGAGATATAAATAAAAGGTTTAAAGTCACCTCCACTGTTGTGAATTACCATGGTAGTCTTTCTACAGTATGACTAATTCAATCTTGAACTATTGCTTTGGATGTATTCATCAACATCCAAATAGGTCGAATTACACATTTAAGCCAGCTCTTTGGAAAGAAAAAGCAGACAGCATAATTTTTTAATTATTGTATATTGTCAACACTCTTTATTTTAACATCTAAATCTGCTTTAATTATACAGACATTACCCACATAACATCAGCCATTTGGCACCAAACACTAACTTAATACCCATTTCTGATTAACTGTCAAAAAATAGAATGTGTTGATGACAACCCAAAATCCCCAACCAGTTTCTTAACACAAAGTGAAAGAACTGTGTATAACAAGTCTTCATGTTTAAAATGTAAAAGGCTTAAGAACCTTCTCTTTAGGATCAACAAATTAACAAGGCTATTTACTGTTACCTCATATGTGTTAACAAGGTCTCTCAGTGCCCACAGCGTTAGAGAGACACACACACTGTTAACACCGCAACAAATTTCGCAGCGTTACCCTTGACAATGATGAATTAACACTTGCACTTGGAATGAAATGTAAGATGATTTTTTTCCTTCACTTTGTTTTGTTAAAAACATCATATAGAGTGGTAGGGCAGTAATCATACATTTTTCAAAATGTACTTCTCAAAGATGATGTATTATAAATCATGTGCATTTTATGTAGAACAGAGATTAAAAACAAGGACTATAGTGCCCGGAAATAACTAGAGAGACTTATTGCAATATATGCCTTCATTATCTGGGCACAATAATTTCTCTTCCAACTTTTGAATGTACATTTTCTAACTTTGGTTCGATGATGTCATGTATAAGCCAACTTCATTTTTATACCTCTGTAAATAACCTGTAGGATTTTGACCTGAATGGAAATTGGCTATATCTGGAGATTGTTTTTAATAAAAAATCACATGAAAACATATACTAATGCTTTTAATAATCTTTTTTGAGCATCTCCTCTCTGCCAGATACTAGACAAGGATGCAGTGGCCCTCAGAGGCCCAATAATTATATGATTATCACTGATTAGTTGGTTGTTTTGTGTTTGTTTGTTTGTGGGTTGTCAGGGTGATTTTTCTTTGCATGTTAATCAGTATCTTAGTACAGACTCTTAGAAAAAAATTTTCTTTCATGTATTTTGTAGTACAAAGAGTTAAAGATCTAGACTCAAAAGATGAAAGTATAGGCCAGTTTTTCCACCTTTTCTTTGAGAGACCTTAGCTATTGCATATTATGGTCTGAGACTCAGTTTACAAATGTAAAATGAGGACAATAGAGATACTCAAATGGCTAAAGAAATAAAACATATACAACAGTGAATATTTAAAGGAAGAGCATAATGCAATGGATAGAGATTAAGCCTTGGAATCTGACAAAATGCACACTTGATTCTCCATTAATGAATGTGTGCAATATTTTTGGCCTTTTATGAGCCTCATTTTCCTCACCTGTAAAATAAGCCTACTTTGCAGAGTTGCAGTGACGATACAGAGAATGAGATACCATTTCCTTTACCCAGTAAACTGGCACCTAGAAATTTCAATGTATGCATTAGCAGTCCACATTATCTTCATTTTTGTTAAGGTGAAAGTTTTAATTTATATAATATACTACCCAAATGTTAGAGATCAATGTGGACATAATAACAAATAAAATTTAAAATGTTTCTGGGCTAAAATTTTTCCTTAATGCTTAAGTGTGAGTATGAGTGTGTGTGCATGTGTGTGGTACCTCTCCAGGGCCTCATTGTCTACTGCTGTTGTTTGGGAAAAAAATAAAAATAAAAAAAATACAAAACAACCAAGGGAAGTGGGTTATAGAGTGACGCGCAATTATATATTATCAGGAAAATACACTTTTAAAAAACATAGTAATTAGAAGAGTAACATTAAGTCGGATGTTATGGAGACCATTACAATCTATTTTCCATATAACTCTCAAATGAACAATGATGAGCTTGGGTTTGAGAGGAAAGCAATTTGGTTCTCACTGGGTCCTGCCTAACTGAGCTGTTGAAATGACTCACTATGTCTCTGTCAGGGTGCTTTATTTGTAGGTCATGCTGGCCTAAGATAACATACACAGTTACTGGCTATTCACAAAGAGAAATTTGGCCTTTTTGTGTCATTGAGGACATTGTATCTGCATTTGAGGATACTGAGCCTCAAATAATTTAGATAACTAGATCAAATTGGGTTGCAAAGTGTTGATTCCCATGCAAAAGTCCATATTCCCAAGACATTGTCAGGAAATAAGTGATGTTTCTAATGCTTTAATTCATTGGAAACCAAGGCATTAGCTCCATGAGGCTACTTTCAACTTCTCTTTTTGTTTTAACATAAGCCTTAATTCAAAATTTTGTAAATGCCCCATGGAAAGGTCAATAAAAAAGGATCAGGATTTGTTTCAGTTAAATCAAAGATGCCTATCTATTCTCATTCAATTTGAATTAACACATAGTTATTAGGAAATAAGAAAAAGTGATGAATAAATTTACTTGGGAGAAATTTGACTACTTTTAAATCAAAACTATTTCAAAATATTATAATTAATATTAACCTTCTATGGCATATTTTCTATAGTTTTACATTTTCAAATAAAAAGTTCAGCATTTGGATTTCTATCACTGAAATTCGTTTCTATAGAAAGTACTATTTCAAAATTTGACTTAATTTAAAACATAAAATTATGGTTAAAAATGAATACTTGAATCCTTCAGTTTCTGGAAATCCACCTATGTGTCATTATTACATTTTTAATTTATTTTTCTGAAACAAGAAAATGAAAGCATAACCATGACTGGGAATATTTGAATAAGAAGATAAAAGTCCAGCAATCAAATACATTTTTAGTATTTCATGTTTCTTACAGTATTTTTACATTCTATTCACTCTACCCATTTTTAAAGTTTCAATTAAAATGTAGATATGGCCGGGCACAGTGGCTCACACCTGTAATCCCAGCACTTTGGGAGGCCAAGACGGGTAGATCACCTGAGGTCAAGTGTTCAAGACCACACTGGCCAACATGGTGAAAGCCCATCTCTACTAAACACACACACACACACACACACACACACACACACACACGCCAATTAGCTGGGTGTGGCGGCGGGCACCTGTAATCCCAGCTACTTGGCAGTCTGAGGTAGGAGAATTGCTTGAACCCAGGAGGCGGAGGTTGCAGTGACCCGAGGTCGCGCCATTGCACTCCAGCCTGGGCTATGGAGCAAGACTGTCTCAAAAAAAAAAAAAAAGTAGATAGGACAGCATGCTGCCATCCCAGGGAACAGGAGAAACAATAAACACAGTAGTAGTAATGCAGCAGTAATGTGTTTGAAGGGCCAAGAGGAGAAAACTTTCCATCCAGACTTTTCTGTTTTGCAAAACTCTGTTAAATCCTAACTCTATCTAGGGATTTAACCATGCAGTGGAGGTTGTGCTGCAGAAGGAATCACCCTATCTCTTAAAAATGGAAAGCTTTATATCTAAGCCTATGCCAAGAAAATATAATAGGAGAACATTTTAAATTAGTTTGTGAAAGTCAAAAGATTGTCTAATATTTGCACAGCAAATAATTTTTACCAAACAATTTTACATACATTTCTTACAATAATTATTTGATGATATTATGATTGCCTACATTTAACAGTTGAGACGTTGTATCTGCATTTAAGGATACTGAGCCTCAAATAATTTAGATAATTAGATCAAATTGGGTTACAAAGTGTAGACTGTCATGCAAAAGTCCATATTCCCAAGACACTGGGCTCTCACTTCCACATTTTCTAAGGATATATGAAATATATGAAGTTCCCTATGTCTTCCTGATTTTGTCCGTTAAAGATAATTTCAAATGGCCTTAATTTCTAGACTAATAAACTGTTTTTTTCTGTTATGAATATATGCTTCTCTCTGTATTATTTTAATTTTCATCACCATGGAAAGTGTCTACCTGAAGCTGACAAACACATATTTAGTACAGACAAAAGGTTAAGGAAAAATAAATCCATTCTTAAGGTCAAGATTACAAAGAATATAAAACTTAAGAACAGAGCAGGTATCAGAGATGTTTCATTTGTAAATAAATAAATGACATGAAACTTAAACATTTTTAAAATGGAATCAATTGTTCAGAATATACTCAATAAAAATGATAGTACAGAATAAAGTGGTACTCCAAAGGGTTTATTGATAATAGCTTTTTTAGACCATAGGATTAGATTTGTAACAAGCCAATTAAAAGAAAAGTGTGAAATTAGATAAATGCCATGATCTATATGGCAAAGTAATTTGCATTTGGGCTGAAGTTTTAATAGAACATAAAAACACAGAACTATACAAATGATATGTTCTATGAGTGGGACACAGAAGTACTTTCAAAGAATCATTACCTCACAGGCAAAAATTATACAAGGAAAAAGATTAATAGGTGTGAACTATTTTGTGTTTAAAGTTGCAAACACGCTGTGTCTAAAAGTTCACCAAACACAAAATTTAAAAATAAAAAATTGAAAGATATTTTCAAATAAGTATTAAGTATTCCTTATAAAACACTCTTACAAAAGAGTGTTAAAGTTAGCTCAATAGAAAATGAGCAAAGACTTTGAACAGATAATGTGCAAAGAAGAAAACAAAGAAAATCAGGTTATGTAATGTTCATTAAAAATTAAAGAAAAGCATGATCAAGCTGAGAACCAAATCAAGAAGTTAATCTCATTTACAATAGCTACAAAAAAATAAATAAAATGCCTAGGAGTCCATTTAATCAAGGAGGTGAAAATCGCTACAAGCAAAACTACAAAACCCTGATGAAAGAAAGTGTTGATGACACAAGCAAATGGAAAAATTCCATGCTCATGAATTAGAAGAATTAATATTATTAAAACGACCATCCTGCCCAAATCAATCTACAGATTCAATGCAATTCTGACCAAAATACCAACATCATTTTTTACAAATCCTAAAATTCATATAAAACAAACAAACAAACAAAAAAAGCCTGAATAGCCAAAGCAATCCCAAACAAAAATAACACAGTTGGAAGCATCACATTACCTGACTTCAAATTATACTACATGGCTACAATGACCTAAATAGCATGATATTAGTATAAACACAGACACATAAGTCAATGGAACAGAATAGAGAACCCAGATATAGAACCACATACCTGCAGTCGACTTATCTTTGACAAAGTTAACAAAAACATACATTAGGGAATGGACACCCTATTAAATAAAGTGTGCTGGAAAAATTGGATTGCCACATGCACAAGAATGAAATTGGACTCATCTCTCACCAGATCCAAAAATTAACTCAAGATACATTAAAGACTTAAAAGTAAGGCCTGAAACTATAAAAGTACTAAAAGAAAATCTAGGAAAAAAGCTTTCCTGGACATTGACCTTGGCAAATAATAAATGATTAATACCTCAAAAGCAAATGCAACAAAAACATAGACAAATGGGACTTAATTAAACTAAAATATCTGCACAACAATAGAAATAATCAACCAAGTGAACAGACAACCTGCAGAATGGTAAAAATATTTGCAAACTATGCATCCAACAAAAGACTAATATCCAAAATCTACAAGGAACTCAAACATCTCAATAATAACCAAAAAACACTGCAAATAACCCTATTAAAAAGTGGGCAAAGGACAAGGACAGACATTTTAGAAAAGAAGACATAGAAATGGCCGACAAGCATATGAAAAACATCACTAATCACCAGAGAAAGGTACGCTAAAACCACAGTGAGATACCATCCTACACAAGTCAGAATGGCTTTCATAAAAAATTCAAAAAGCAATAGATGTTGGCAAGGATACAGACATAACAGTGTGCTTATATCCTATTGGTGTGAATATAAATTAATAAACCTCTGTGGAAAATGTGTGGACATTTGTCAAAGAGCTAAAAATAGAACTCCTATTCAATTCAGCAATCCCACTACCAGTAATCTACTCAAAGGAAAAGAAATCATTATACCCCCAAAATACCTGAACTTGTATGTTTAGTAGAGTGTTATTCACAAGAGAAAATGTATGGAATGAACCTGTGCCCATTGATAGATGATTGGATAAAGAAAATGTGGTATGTGTATATAAGTATACTATAGAATATATGCTATGTATATATTTTAATGTGCATATATACATTAGAATATATATATATACACACATACCACAGAATACTACCCAGTCATAAAAAGAATGATATCTATATCTTTTGCAGCAACATGGATGAAACTAGAGGCCATTATCATAGGTGAAATTATTCAGAAGCATAAAGCCAAATACCACATGCTCTCACTTACAGGTGTGAGCTAAACAATGAGCACACATGGAATAGAAAGTGGAATAATAGAAAATGGATACTCAGAAAGGTGGCAGGAGTTGGAGGGGGGTGAGAGATGAGAAATAACTTGATGGGTACAATATACACTATTAGGGAGATAGTTACACCACTATGCTACCTATCTATGTAACAAAACCGCACTTGTACCCCTTAAATAAATAATTAAAAAGAAAAGTGTCTGTTCATATCCTTTGCCCACTTTTTGATCGGTTGTTTGTTTTTTTCTTGTAAGTTTGTTTGAGTTCTTTGTAGATTCTGGATATTAGCCCTTTGTCAGATGAGTAGATTGCAAAAATTTTCTCCCATTCTGTAGGTTGCCTGTTCACTCTGATGGTAGTTTCCTTTGCTGTGCAGAAGCTCTTTAGTTTAATTAGATCCCATTTGTCAATTTTGGCTTTTGTTGCCATTGCTTTTGGTGTTTTACAAATGAAGTCCTTGCCCATGCCTATGTCCTGAATGGTATTGCCTAGATTTTCTTCTAGGGTTTCTATGGTTTTAGGTCTAACATGTAAGTCTTTAATCCATCTTGAATTAATTTTTGTATAAGGTGGAAGGAATGGATCCAGTTTCAGCTTTCTACATATGGCTAGCCAGTTTTCCCAGCACCATTTATTAAATAGGGAATCCTTTACCCATTTCTTGTTTTTGTCAGGTTTGTCAAAGATCTTGTTTTTGTCAGGTTTTGTTTGGTTGTAGATGTGTGGTATTATTTCTGAGGGCTCTGTTCTGTTCCATTGGTCTATATCTCTGTTTTGGTACCAGTACCATGCTGCTTTGGTTACTGTAGCCTTGTAGTATAGTTTGAAGTCAGGTAGCGTGATGCCTCCGGCTTTGTTCTTTTGGCTTAGGATTGTCTTGGCAATGCCAGCTCTTTTTTGGTTCCATATGAACTTTAAAGTAGTTTTTTCCACTTCTGTGAAGAAAGTCATTGCTAGCTTGATGAGGATGGCATTGAATCTATAAATTACCTTGGGCAGTATGGCCATTTTCACAATACTGATTCTTCCTATCTGTGAGCATGGAATGTTCTTCCATTTGTTTGTGTCCTCTTTTATTTCATTGAGCAGTGGTTTGTAGTTCTCCTTGAAGAATTCCTTCACACCCCCTTGTAAGTTGGATTCCTAGGTATTTTATTCTCTTTGAAGCAATTGTGAATGGGAATTCATTCATGATTTGGCTCTCTGTTTGTCTGTTATTGGTGTATAAGAATGCTTGTGATTTTTGTACATTGATTTTGTATCCTGAGACTTTGCTGAAGTTGCTTATCAGCTTAAGCAGATTTTGGGCTGAGACGATGGGGTTTTCTAAATGTACAATCATGTCATCTGCAAACAGGGACAATTTGACTTCCTCTTTTCCTAATTGAATACCTTTTATTTCCTTCTCCTGCCTAATTGCCCTGGCCAGAACTTCCAACACTATGTTGAATGGCACTGGCCATCAGAGAAATGCAAATCAAAACAACAACGAGATACCATCTCACACCAGCTAGAAAGGTGATCATTAAAAAGTCAGGAAACAACAGGTGCTAGAGAGGATGTGGAGAAATAGGTACACTTTTATACTGTTGGTGGGACTATAAACTAGTTCAACCATTGTGGAAGACAGTGTGGTGATTCCTCAAGGATCTAGAACTAGAAACACCATTTGACCCAGCCATCCCATTACTGGGTATATACCCAAAGGATTATAAATCATGCTGCTATAAAGACACATGCACATGTATGTTTATTGTGGCACTATTCAGAATAGCAAAGACTTGGAACCAACCCAAATGTCCATCAATGATAGACTGGATTAAGAAAATGTGGCACATATACACATGGAATACTATGCAGCCATAAAAAGGATGAGTTCATGTCCTTTGTAGGGACATGGATGAAGCTGGAAACCATCATTCTCAGCAAACTATCACAAGGACAAAAAAACCAAACACCACATGTTCTCACTCATAGGTGGGAATCGAACAATGAGAACACTAGGACACAGGAAGGGGAACACCACACAACAGGGCCTGTTGTGGGTTGGGGGGGAGGGGGGAGGGATAGCATTAGGAGACATATGTAATGTAAATGATGAGTTAATGGGTGCAGCACACCAACATGGCACATGTATACATATGTAACAAACCTGCACGTTGTGCACATATACCCTAGAATTTAAAGTATAATAAAAAAAAGAAAAAAAATGTTAAAAAAGCAAGTTGAAATAATAAGGAAGGCCATGATGTCCCAAAGACTATTTGTTAAAGGTGACATCACCTAAAATAGCTAGGTAGGGAACTAGAGAACACCACCCCACCACAAAAGCAATAAATAAGTTGGCAAAAACAGAATTAAATATTTTAGAATTCTAGAATCTAATAACAAAACTTACAACAAGCAGGGGAATGTTGAATGAAGAAAGCAGCAGCTGGATTTCGATAAGAGAGCACTGTGGTATCATTCCTTACCCACTTACATCCTCTAATCCCCAGCTTGACAGTTGCCAAGAAGATGGCAGTCAGCACTTTTTTATGCAGGTTGCTCTAACCAGAGGGTGCGTGCAGGACTTAGTTTCAAATAATTGTGTGTTTTGATCTGTCTTGTGGCTCCCTGAGCTATCAGCTCCAGGGATAGCCCTTGTTTTGCCTGCCTCAAAGATTCCCCAGAAAGGAAGTGGTTTGCTTTAGTGGTGTTTGCAGAATGAATTTAAAGGAAAATGAGACAAGAAATGATATACATGGTAAGCAATAGAGAGAATGAAAATATTTGGAAGGAAAAGTCTGGGGAAGGAGGTAGCTGAGAGAGTGGGCTTTAAAATGTAAATTAAAACTACCAAAAGATATCCACTCATACTTGTGAGGATGGCTATTACTAAAAAGTCAAAAGATAACAAGTGTCATTCAGGGTATGAAGAAAAGAGAACCATTGTACACTGTTGTTGGAAATTTAAATTGGTACAGCCATTGAAAACAGTATAGATATTCCTCAAAAAATTAAAAATGGAACTACCACATGATCCAATCCTCTTCTTGGTGTGTAATCAAAGGAAAAAAATAACAGTTTCAAAGAGATATTTGCACTCCCATGTTCATTGCATCGTTACTCACAATAGCCACTCACAAAAAGACCAATAGCCTAAGCATCCATCAACAGATGAATGGATGAAGACAATTATGTATGTGTTATATATTCCTTTACATATATATTATGTGTGTGTATATATATGTATATAAAAATATTACTTAGCCTTGAAAAATAAGAGAGATCCTGCCATTTGTGATAAATGAGTTTACCTTGAGGACATTATGCTAAGTAAAATAAGTCAGATGTAGAAAAGCAAATACTGTATTATCTCAGTTATATAAGAAACATAAAAAGAAAAAATAAATATATAGTATAAGATATTTGAATGGGTGTTATCAGAGGCTGAATGGTTAAGGGGAAAAGGGTATAAAGCAACAGGTATAAAATGAATAAGTACTAAAAACCTAATGCACAATAGGGTGACTATAGTCAATTATAATGTATTCTATACTTGAAATTTGCTAAAACAGTAGATCTCAGGTGTTCTTGTCATACAAACACAAAAAATAGTGACTGTGATCTGGTGTGGTAGATATGTTAATTAGTTTAATTGTATCATTTCAAATGTATACATAAATCAAAACATCACATTTTGCACTCTAAATGTATGTAATTATTACTTGTTAATTATACCCTAATAACGATGTGAGAAAAACACCCATGATACCATGGACCCTTGAAACTCACCTGCATGCTCATCAATGGACACATGCTAGGATTACAGTTATGTGCTACCGATCCCAACCTAAATTTCAACGTGAGATTGGAGGTGACAAATATCCAAACCACATCTTTGATGATACAGCTGGACATTAAAGACATTTCCAAAAATAAAAAACAAAATCACTCTGTTCATTATATTATTTGTTTGGAAGTAATAATTATCTTTCATAAATTCTGTTATTATTTTAACATTTAGTGGGCTTCTGTCATTTAAAATAAGCTAAAAATTTATATCTTAAGGTCTCTAATAAGGTAAATGTTGATAGATACAATCTAAACAAATAAAATGGATCTGTGGATTTTAATAATTTTAAGGACTTTAAAGGAGAATTCAGACCAAAAAGATTAAAAACTGCTGATATAAATTAATTTTCAAGCAAGATCTATTTACAATGTAAGTTTCCTAATTAATGTCCATGGTATACCTCTATTTTTATTTAAATAATGTTTTATGACTTTGAACAATATTTTATCATTTTTCCCAACAGTTGTGTGCTTTTTGAGAGATTTTTTTCTTAATTTTTTTCTGTTTCTGTTACAAACTGTATTTTTTAAATTTTATAATTTCTCTTTGTTACCAATATATAGAAATATAACTGAATTTTATGTACTGCCAATCCAGCAAATGTCCTAAGCTCAATTATAACTTTGACAATGGTCTTTACATTATTTTGGATGTTTGTACATAGGCAAAAATTAAATATTATAGTCAAAAATGACATATTTTTACAACTTTTTGATGCTTATAAATTTATTTCTTACTCTGACATAATTACATTAACTAGGATTTTCAGTAGAATGCTAAGCAAACATATGAGAGTGCCTCACATTGTGCTTTATATTAAAAGAAAGTTTCAAAACCTCTGCATTAATTATGATATTTACTGCAGGCATTTATTCCCAGGTTTATATTGTTAAATGAAGTTAATAAATGCCTTCCTACTTTTTAAAATAATAAGTGAATGCTGAATGTCACCAAATAATTATTCTGCATGATTATAGTCAGGCTTAACTAAGCTATTGCTGTGTTACATATAAAGCCCAAATACCATCGTATTACCAGAATAAATAATTATATCTTATATTGCATCATAATTGGGAACGGGAGAAATGAAAAGTTCTAATAATTCTATTATCTATTAATGATATTTTTGTGTCTTAAATTTAAAACTTCCCCTCAAAGAATATGCCATGGCAAGGCAACTTTACTCATGATCTCCTACAAATTCCTGCCAGAAAAAAAGGAGAGAGGGCCACACAAGATGGCAAAGTAGGCAGAGACAGGAAGTGCTGCTCCCACCAAGAAAGACCAAGTTATCAAGTAAAACAACGTAAATTAGGCATATCTTTAGAGAGAAAACACCAAGTGAATGAAGAGGTGACACTGAGACTGAGAAGGGAGGAAGCTAGGAACCTTCATGGGATACCCAAATGCTAGGGCTAGTTCCTGGACCTGAACAGTTCCTGGGGAAGTGGTGAGTGAGGGGACAGAGGAATAGCCCACTCTCAACATGGACCTCTAGATTCCCAGCTACAGGGCCCCCACACTCCCTATTGACAGCTGAGCTGACGGGGCATCTGCCTGGGGAGTAGGCAGAGACAGGGCTTCAGCTAACATGGGGCACAGCAGCTTTTGTGTGCAGGGCAGCTCTGGTGGAGCATGGTCACTGGTACCCATCCCACAGTGGTCCCCATCTCCCTCTGAGAGGCTCTACCCCTAGCTGATTACCAGGCCAGGAAAAAATGAGGCCAACTTCCCTATGGGACAAAGATGCATCTGTTCTGCAGGGCTTCCTGCCAAACAGCTCCTCCCATGGCCCCTGCCGAGCTGCCCCATAGGAGTTCCTGCACAGTGCAGCATCTGATGCACAATGTAAGTGCTTTGCTTCATCCGAGTACTTTCCCAGCAACCTGGGAGCACTTCGGATATCCCAGAACAGCTGGAGCCCAACCCCAAGCTACAGGCCATCTCAGGGCCCCAGGGCTGCAGTGCACAGCTTGGGAGTGCTGAGCCAAGATTTGTGGCTTGCACTGAAGTGGGATAGGAGCCGCTACTCTCAGAGCACTTAGGGTAGCAAGAAGTGTGTGTTAAGTGGGTGAGCATAGGAGCAGAGTGTACCTCACTCCACAAGTCCAGTCCAGAAAGGATGTAGCCTACCTCCCTGCCACAGCCTTTGCCTGAGGGAGACTTGCAGCCTGGAACGTCTCACGAAAGCAACAGGGATGTGATGCCCATGATTGGGGGATCCCCACATGGCCCAGGAGTCGGTCTGCTAAGAAGGTCCTCTTCCCCCACCCAGGCCATCCTCTGCAGAGCACGCCTGTGAATGTGAAATAATACAAGAGAGCTGTATAGCTTAGTAAGTGCCCATTTATCAGCCATTACTCTTACCCAACTACTGGATTGCAGTCCAAACTACAACACCAAAATTATTCAGCTAAGATGCACAGCTGTGAAACCAAATGCAAGAATTCGCCCACGCATAAAGATACTATACAGAGCCTCTGAAAGCAGCAAGAAATGAAACCAAATGACTACACTCAACTTACATCACAGTTAAAGAAAAACCAGCCCCCTCCCCCAACAATGAGAAAAAATTCAGGGCAAGAACTCTGGCAGTTCAACAAGCCAGAGTATCCCCTAACTTCAAGATGAGCCTACTAAACCAACAGCAATGGTCATTAACCAGACTGGAATGTCTGAAATGACAGGCATAGAATGCAGAATCTGGATGGCAAGAGTGCTCATTGAAATCTGGGAGAAAGGTGAAACACAATCCAAGGAATCCAGTTAAAAAGAATCCAAGAGCTGAAAGATGAAGTAGTAATTCTAAGAAAGAATAAAATTGAACTTCTGGAACTGAAAAATTCACTATAAGAATCTTATAGCACAATTGGAAGTATTAACAGCAGAATAGACCAAACTGAGGAAAGAATCTCAGAGGCCAAAGATCACTTCTTCAAATCAACTCAGACAAACAAAATTTTTTTAAAAAATTAATAATGACTAAAACTTCCAAGAAGTGTGAGAATAAGTATAGAGACCAAACTTATGATTCATTTTCATTCCTGAGACAGGAGAATGAGTAAGGAAATTTGACAATATATTTGAGGATACAGTCCATGAAAAATTTTTCAAATCTTGCCAGAAAGGTTGAAATGCAAATTCAAGAAACACAGAGAATGCCAGCTAGATACTATATTAGATGACCATAACCAAGGCGTGTAGTAATCAGATTGATCAAGATCAATAAGAAAAAAAAATCTTAAAGGTGGCTAAGAGGAGGGTAAGATTACATACAAAGAGAAATGCCTCAGGCTAAAAGCCAACCTCTCAGCTAAACCTTTACAAGCCAGAACAGATTGGAGGCCTATTCAGCATTGTTAAAGAAAATAAATTGTAACCAAGAATTTTGTATCCTTCCAAAACAAGCTTCATGAGTGAAAGAAATAAAAACTTTCTCAGACAAGCAAACACTGAGAGATTCATTAAAACCTGACCAGCCTTACAAGAGGTTCTTAAGGGAGTCTTAAACATGAAATCAAAAGAATGGGATCTGCTATCACAAAAACCTACTAAGCCACATAGCCCACAGACACTATAAAGCAACTGCATAATTAAGTATACATAACAACCAGCATACAACACAATGACAGGATCAAAATCTCACATATCTATACTAACCCTGAAATTAAGTGGACAAAATACCCCACTTAAAATATATAAAGTGGCAATCTAGATCAAAAGATAAAAACCAACATCTACTGTCTTCAAGAGACCTATCTCACATGTAATAACACTCACAGGCTCAAAGTAAAAGGGTGGAAAAACATGAACCGTGAAAACAGATACAAAAAAAAGAGGAGGAGTCACCATTCTCATATTAGATAAAACAGACCTTAAACCAAGAATTATTCAGAAGGACAAAGAAAGGCATTACATAATGATAAAGGGTGTAATTCAGCAAGACTTAACTATCATAAATATATATGCATTCAACATTGGAGCACCTAGATTCATAAAGCAAGTTCTCCTTGACCCATGAAAAGATTTAGATAACCACACAATAATAGTAAAAGATTTCAACATCTCACTGACAACGTTAGGCAGATTATCAAGGCTGAAAACTAACAAAGAAATTCTGGACTTAACACTAGGGGGAAAAAAAGCTAGCAGAAGTAAAGAAATAACTAAAACTAGAGAAGAACTGAACAAAATTGAGGTGCAAAAATCCCCACAAAGAGTAATGAAAGCTTTTTTCAAAAGAATCAACAAGACTGATACACTGCTAGCTAGATTGCCAAAGAAAAAAATAGAAGATCCAATTAAGTTCAATCTGAAATGGCAAAGGTGACATTACAAGCCATCCCACGGAAATAGAAAAGGTTTTCAGAAACAATTATGAACAAATGTATACACTCAAATTAGAAACTTAAATTGGAAAAGCTAAATGGATAAATTCCTGTAAACACACAACTTCCCAAGATTGAGCCAGGAAGAATATCAACCCCCTGAATAGACAAATAACAAGTTCCAAAACTGAATGAATAATTTTAAAAAGCCACCAACTAAAAACAGCCCTGAACCAGATGGATTCACAACCAAATTCCATCAGATGTACGAAGAAGAACTCATACCAATCCTACTGAAACTATTCCAAAAATCAAGTTGAAGGGGTAATTTCCTAACTCATTCTGTGAATCCAGCATCAGCCTGACACCAAACTCTATCAGAGACATAATGAGAAAATTAAACATCTGGCCAATATTCCTAATAAACCTAGACACAATAATCTTCAACAAACTGAATCCAGCAGCACATCAAAAAGGTAATACACCACAGTCAAGAAGGCTTTATTGCTAGAATGCAAAGTTGGTTCAACACACACTAATCAATATAGATGATTTAGCACATAAACAGATTTAAAAGCAAAAATCATATGATAATCTCAATAGACACAGAAAAAGCTTTCAGTAAAATCCAACATAGCATCATGTTAAAAACCCTCAACAGACAAGGTATCAAAGGAACATACCTCAAAATAATAAGAGTCATCTATGACAAACCCACAGCAATATCACAGTAAATGGGCAAAAGCTGGAACCATTTCCCCCTGAGAACTGAAACAAGACAAGAATGCCCTCTTTTACCATTCTTATTCAATATAATACTGGAAGTTCTAGCCAGAGCAAGAGAATCAGACAAGAGAAAGGATTAAAAGCCATTCAAATAGAAAAAGAAGTCAAACTATATCTCTTCATTAATGATATGATTCTATACCTGGAAAACCTTAAAGGCTCTGCCAAAAGATTCCAAGAACTGAAAAAGAATTTTATTACAGTTTCAGGATACAAAATTAATGTACAAAATCAGTAGTATTTCTATACACCAATAATATACTGATAATGTTCAAGATGAGAGTCAAATCAAGAATGCAATCCCATTTGCAATAGCCATAAAATATTGAAATGCTTAAAAATAGTCAACCAAAGAAGTGAAATGTTTCACAGAGACTACAAAACACTGCTGAAAGAAATCAGATACAACACCAATAAATGGAAAAACATTCCATGCTCATGGACTGGAAGAATTAGTATCATTAAAATGACCATACTGCTCAAAGCAATTTATAGATTCAGTGCTATTCCTATTGAACTACCAATGTCATATATCACATAATTAGAAAAAAAAACTATTATTAAATTCATATCGGACCAGAAATGAGCCTGAATAACCAAAACAATTCTAAGCAAAAATTGCAAGCTGAGGGCACCACACTACCCAAACTATACTAAAAGGCTACCATAGCCAAAACAGCGTAGTATCGGTACACAAATTGACACATAGACCAATGTAACAGAATTGGAAACCCAGCAATAAAGCTGTACACCTACAACCATCTTATCTTTGATAAAGCCAATAAAAACAAGCAATAGGGAAAGACTCTCTGTTTAATAAATAATGCCAAAATAACTAGCTAGCCATATGCAGAAAAATGAAATTGGACCCCTACCTTTCACTATATACATAAACTAACTCAACATGCATTAAAGATTTAAATATAACACCTCAAACTGTGAAAATCCTAGAAGAAAACCTAGGAAATACCTTTCTCAACATTATTCTTGAGGAAGAATGTTTGATTAAGTCCCCAAAAGCAATTTCAACAAAAACGAAATTTGAAAAGTAGGACCAAATTAAACTAAAGTGCTTGTGTACAACTAAAGAAACTATCAACACAGTAAACAGACAACCTACAGAATGGGAGAAAATATTTGCAAACTATGCATTTGACAAAGATTTAATATCCAGAACCTATGAGGAACATAATTCAACAAACAAAAAAGCAAGTAACCCCTTTAAAAAATGGTCAAAGGACATGAAAAGACATCCATCAAAAGAAGACATACAAGCAGCCAATAAACATATGAAAAAATGCTCATCATCACTAATCATCAGAGAAATGCAAATCAAAATCACAATGAGATATCTCATGCCACTCAGAGTGACTATTTTTAAAAAATCAAATACTAACAGATGCTGGCAGAGAAAAAGGAATTCTTATACACTGTTCGTGGAAATGTAAATTAGTTCAGCCACTTTTGAAAACCGTTTGGAGATTTCCCAAAGAACTTAAAACAGAGGTGCCATTTGACCCAGTAATCCCATTACTGGGTTTATATCTAAAAGAAAATAAATATTAATAATTCTACCCAAAAGACACATGCACTTGTATGTTCATCACAGCTATTCATAATAGCAAAGACAAGGAATCAACCCAGGTGCCCATCAATGGTGGATTAAATAAAGACAATGTGGTACATATGCACTATAGAATACTACACAGACATAAAAGGAACAAAATTATGTCCTTTGCAGCAACATGGATCCAGCTAGAGACCATAATCATAAGTAATTAACATAGGAACAGAAAACTGAATACTGCATGTTCCCAGAAGTGGGAGCTAAACATTGGGTATGCATGGACATAAAGATGAGAACAATAGACAATGTGGACTAACTGGGGAGTAAGGACTGAAAGACTATCTATTGGGTACTATGCTCACTACCTAAGTTATAGGATGCATGCTCCAAACCTCAGCTACACAATGCACCCATGTAACAAACCTGCATGTGTACTCCCTGTATCTAAAATAAAAGTCAATATTTTTATTATTTTATTTTATTTTCATTTTTATTTATTTGTTTATTAATTTATTTATTTTGAGATAGAGTCTCACTCTGTCACCCAGGCTAGAGTGCAGTGGCATGATCTTGGCTGCTTGCAAACTCTGCTTCCTGGGCTCAAGCGACTCTCCTGCCTCAACCTGCCCTGCAGCTGGGATTACAGGCACAAGCCACCATGTCCAGCTAATTTTTTTGAATTTTTAGTAGAGATGGGGTTTCACCATGTTGGCCAGGCTGGTCTCAAACTCCTGACCTCAAGTGATACACCTGCCTCAGCCTTCCAAAGTGCTGGGATCACAGGCATGAGCCACCACACCTGGCTAATATTTTTAAATTATAAAAATAATATGCTTAATTTATAAAAAGAGTAAAAGCAGAGAAAACCGAATAGGCTTTATAATGTTAGTATAAATTGATATCAAATCTGGATAAGGAAATTATGAGAAAGATCAGAAAATACCTCCCATTAATATAGATGTGAAATTAATAAATAAAATTTTAGCAAATTTAGTTTGGCAATATATACAACTATAAATACCTCATGACTAAGTGGTATTTATTCCACAGTTGGTTTAATATTAGAAAGTCAATGTAGTTCATCACATTAAAAAGATAAAGACAAAATACCATTATACTCAGAGACACACAATAAAGCATTTGATAAAATTAAGGAACTAGAAATGAAATTTAGAAAACTAGAAATAAATTGAAGCCTTCTTAATATGTTAGAAAATATTTATAAGAAATGATCTTAGCAAATTGCAGAACAGGAAACCCAAAACCTCATTCTCAGACAGAGACGTTGATTTAACTACCATGTCTGGTCCACAAAGTCTTAATGAGACCTCTAGAAATCAGTTAAGAGTTGTAGTATCCCAGACAATTTCAAAGACACAAACATCCATAATGAAATGGTCAAATCTCAGAAAAAAACTAAGAAGGCATATGAAGAAATGGGGCAATATGAGCTAAACAAAGGATTAAGATAAATCTTCCGAAACTGACCCTAACATAAAGGAGGTATATAAATTACTTGAAAAAGCATTCAAAATTTGATGAGTTGAGGAAACAAAAAAGTAGTCAACAAAATGAAAACACCAACAAAGAGGTATTATGGAACGTATTAAAAAGCAAAGAATTCTAGACATGGGGAATACAATAACTGAACTGAAAAATTCACCAGAGTGGTTTAACAGCAGACTTGATCATGGAGAAGAAAGAATCAGTTAACTTGAAAACAAGTCATTCGAAATTATCAAGTCAGGGAAGAAAAAAGCAAAAGGAATGAGGGAAGCAAAGAAGGCCTAAAGGACTTATGGGATACCATCAAGCATACCAAGTCATGAATTATAGAAATACCAGAAGGAGAAGAGAGAGAGAGAGAATGGAACAGAGAGTTTATTTGAAGAACTAATGGCCAAAATTCTCACAAATATGAGGAAGGAAATGAGAATTCAATTTTAAGGAGTTCAAATGCTCCAATAAGGATGAACTAAAACAGGTCCACACTGAAACACATTAAAACAAACTGTCAAAATTAAAGATAGAGAGGATTTTGAAACAGCAAGAGAAAAGCAACAAACTACATACAAGGGCGCTTTCCTAAGATTATCAGAAGATTTCTCAGCAGAAATATTTTATGCCATAAGGACATGGGAGCATATATTTAAAATACTGAAAGAAAATACTTGCCAGCCAATAGCAGTATATCCGTCAAAGCTGTCCTTCAAAAATGAAGGCAAAATAATTTCTCAGAAAAAAGTTTAAAAAGCTGAGGACTTCATCACTACTAAACCTGCCTTACAAGAAATGCGAAAGAAAAAAAAAAGCCATTCAAGTGGAAATAAAAGGACATTAGACTGCAATACAAAAACATAAAAGTATAGGCCTGGCACGGTGGCTCAAGTCTGTAATCCCAGCACTTTGGGAGGCCGAGGCAGGCGGATCACGAGGTCCAGAGATCGAGACCATCCTGGCTAACACGGTGAAACCCCGTCTCTACTAAAAATAAAAAAAAATTTTCTGGGCGTGGTGGCGGGCACCTGTAGTCCCAGCTACTCAGGAGGCTGAGGCAGGAGAATGGCGTGAACCCGGGAGGCGGAGCTTGCAGTGAGCCGAGATCGCACCACTGCACTCCAGCCTGGGCAACAGAGAGAGACTCCCATCTCAAAAACACAAAAACAAACAAAAAAAATAAAAGTATAAAGGTCTCTGGAAAGGGAAATATATAGACAAATATAGGCATATGTAATACTCTAACGGTGGCATATACATCACAATATTCTAGTATAAAATTTAAAAGACAAAAGCATAAAAATCACTATATAAAACTAGTTAATGGATACAAAATAGAAAAAGATAGAATTTGTAACATCAATATAAAATGGACAGGAAGATATAAATGGAGTAGAGTTTTTGTATGCAATCTGGGTTTAGTTGTTATCAATTTAAAATAGATTTTTGTAACTATAAGATCTTCTATGTAACCCTCATGGTAACTCCAAAGAAAATACCTATAGAAGACACACAAAAGAAGCTGAGAAAATAAATCAAAGCAAATCACTACAAAAAAATCAACAAAATACAAAGGAGGGCAGCAAAAGAAGAAAAGAAGAACAAAATAACTACAAGACATACACAAATCAACAAAATGGCAACAGTAAGGCTTTCCCTATCAGTAATTAGTATGAAGTATAAATGGATTAAACTGCCCAATCAGAAGACATAGAGTGGGTAAGTGAAAAAAGAACAACAACAACAGATAAGATCCACCTAGAAATGATCTAGAAGAAGCACATTTTATATAAGGACACTCAGAGGCTATAGGCTAAAAGTGAAAGGACAGAATAAGATATTCCATGCAAATGGGAAACAAAATAGAGGTGGCCATACTTATATCAGACAAAAATGAATATAAGTCAAAAATAATTCCAAGAGACAAAGAACAACATTATATAATGCCAAAAAGTTCAATTTATCAAGAAGATATCACAATTACAAATATATATGCACCTAACATCAGAGCATCCAAATACATGAAGCAAACATGGACAGAATTTGAGAGAGGAATAGACAGTGAAACAATAACAGTAAGAGATCTTAATATCACATTTTTAATAATGAATAGAAAAACTATGAAGATCAGTGAGGAAACAGAAGACTTGAAAAACACCATAGACCAATTGCAACTAACAGACATATACAGAATACTCCACTTAACAACATCAAAATGGCACATTCCTCTCAAGTACACATTCAGCATTCTCCAGGATATGTCATATGGGAGGCCACAAAAACGTCTTAACAAATTTAAGAAGATCAAAATTATACCAAGAGTCTTTATAGACCACAAAGCAGTCAGTAGCAAAAGAATCAAAAGAAAAAGGAAAATGGTAAAATTCACAAATATATAGAAATTGAACAACATATTCTTAAACAAGAACAATGGGTAAAATAATAAATCACAAGGAAACTTAGAAAATATCCTGAGGCAAATGAAAATTAAAACACAACATACCAAAACCAATGCAGCAAAAAAACTTTTAAGAGGGGAATTTATAGAGGTAAACACCACTTTAAAAAAGAAGAAAGATCTCAAAAAAAAAAAAAAAAAAACTTTTAAATTTCAAGAAACTAGAAAAAGAAAAAACCCAAAAGTCAGCAACACGAAGAAGGTAAAGATTAGGGTAGAATAATAAGGAATAGAAAAACAACAGAAAAATTAAGTGTTTTTTTAAAAAGATCAACAAATTTGACAAGCCCATAGGTAGATGAACTAGAGAAAAAAGAGAGAATGTTTACACAACAAACACCAGAAATGAAAAAGGAGACATAATAACTGATGCTGCAGATATAAATAGGATTATAAGAGACAAACTGTGAATAACTATACAGCAATGGACTGGATAATCTAGAAAAATGGGTGACTTTCTAGAAACATACAACCTAACAAGACAGTTGAAAAACACCAAAGTACCCAACAAAAATAAAATGGAAAAACCAATTGTGTTATATTATTACAATAGACTACTATTGAGAATGAATGAGTTACAACTACAACGACATGCTTATCTACAACAAATATGATAATGAGCAAGAGGAGCCAGACACAAAAGAATGAATTTTGTATGGTAAGTACAAAACAAGGGAAATTCATATGTGCCGTTAAAAGCTGGGCCAGTGTTTATTTTGTGGAGGGTCGTGGGACTGGGAGGCACATGATGTGTAGATTCTGATGATATTCTGGATTCTGATGATATTCTGACAGTTATTATAAATATGACTTTTCAGTTTGGAAACTGCTTATGATATACATGTACAATTAAACAAGTTTCAGAAATTTTAATTAAAGTCAAAATAATTAATTAATACTATCTATGCTGACAGCACTCTATCTCTAGAGCATATGTGATTTTTCCTGACCCCAGATTCACATATCTACCTAATTACTCAATACTTTCATTTCCATTGGGTATCAAATAGACATATCAAAAATAGTATTTCTAAAAATTCTAAAGATTTAATGTAAAGATTAAATCCTGAAATTTAATCCTAAACATACTTTACTTGTAGCCACTCCCATTTCAGCTGATGGCAACTTCATCCTTCCATTCATCATGGCAAAAATCGTGGAGTCATTATTGAGTCTTCTTTTTCTCACTTGCACTTGACTCCATCTGCTCAGGAAATAGTGTTGGCTGTACTTTCAAAATATGTTTATATTTTCACCTCTTTCCTCCCCCAGTGTTTATAACCTGGTCCAAGTCACCACAATTCCTTGCCTAAATGACTATAATGGTTTGGTATCCCTGTTTTTACTCATGTTCCTTCTCATTTATTCTCAGCACCGTGGATATATGATCGCACTAAAATATGAGTTGGAGTCAGTTAACACCTGGCATTGAATCTCCTTTTCACATCTTGCAGAGGTTTACAAAGATTGGCACAATCTCTTCCTTGCTAACTTTTTGTCATATCTCCTACTTCCCTCTACATTGTTTTACAGCCACATTAGCCCCTTTGCTTTTCCTTAAATATGCTAGACATAAGTGTCCAGCCCTTCATGAAACTGCTTCCCCAATCATTGATGTTGCTTCTTCTATCCATTAAGTGTCAGTTAGATGGACTAGCCCATCTTCACACATGCTTCTTTAATGCTCATTGACCTTATGTCCTAAAACTGTGAAACAGATCAATGTATTAAATTATTTTTAAAATGTCTGCACAAAGAGAACACTGATATTAAGGTAAAAAAGTAATCCCAATTGTATTTTCCATCATGAATTTGACTCAATTTACAAAATGAGATTGTATAATATGTACCAAATGACAGTGTTGTCCAAATAATAGGCTTTCAGAATTATTATCATGAACTAATACCAAAACCAAATTCTTCCAACTTTCCATATGTAAGTCACTGTAAAAAGGTTTAAAATATAATTAGATAATAAATGGGATATATTATCAATACATTCTCTGAAACATGGATAGATATTAAGCCAAAATCTCCAATATTTAATCCTATCCTACTTCTGCCCCTTTAAAATGGAAGGGAGAGGGAGATAAACACAAATATCATTATATCTAAGCTTTGGCCCCAAACCCAGGTTAAGAAGCATTGGTAATTTTCCTCTACAGTGAGAGACTCTAATTACATATATTCTGTGTGTTAATCACAGTACTATGATTACTACCTCTAGAGGCTCAGATGAACCATGCAGAACAGAACCTGCAGAAATACTATTTGTCAAGGTTAAGTAGATGTAAACTACCTGCCCCAGGATGGTTCCCCTTTTGTCTTTCTAAAGTCTAGAGAGAGCACATGTTGTGTGATGAAAGGGGGTCCAGATTTATTTTTACCCATCAGCTCAGAAACTGAAGAAATGGAAAGCACTAGAAGAAAGATAAAGGAACAATGAGCAACAGTGAGTATGTACATGTGACATGTTATCCTACTAGACTAGCACCAAAGTAGGGTATTTGCAATCTATCTCTGAATCTAAATCACTGATAAGATATAACACTCTGATTATCTTTTGATTTAAAGGATATAATCCTTAATTTAATATCTTTATGCAAGGAAGCATAAGATGAGGTCAGGGAGAATAAAGGAAAGTAAAGGCAGTGCACCAATAGCTTAACAAACACAATCATGGATTAACCTTATTCTTTCTCTACACTGCCTAATCAGACCCAATGTTAGGGCTAGGTCTTCCTTGCTCCCTGGGTGAAATTTGGGTATGATTTTTCTGGTGACTCTCAGATAAGAATGCAGTGGCCCCTTCAATCAGCCTTTTGTCTGTGGATATTTTTCAGGCATAAGTCTGACACCTCTCTACTTTGTCCCCTGAAACATAGTAAATATGTTTACTTTTCTTCAAACAGATTCCTTGGAATCCTTCTCAGAACTTTGAGGTGATAGAAACATGGGTCTCACAGCACACTGGCAAATTTTACCAAAGAAATCTCCCTTCTGATAACTTCAGTTTCAAGATTTTGATCCCTGCAGAGGGCATGAGATTATGGGTTGCAAAACTCTTTTTTGACCATTGTCTTTGCACATATTGCATCAGTCATATTTGGGGATGTGAGAGTACCTGCAGCTCTTCTTGCCTCGGGGGACTAAGCCAATCCTACATTCCATTTTAGCATCCTATTCGGAGACATAAGCAAATTCCACTAGTTGGGCTCATTATATGAGCCAGTAAGAATGACCTACAGGAACAGGGTTGGGATGGATGTTAACCTTCATACATATTCACAATCTTGCCCAGCCTTGGCGGGGTGAGGGGGATGTGTTTCTTTTTAATGGGTGTGTAACCTTAAGTATATCTGGTACATCTCTGCACTTTAGTTTCTATATATATAAATCATGGCTTACAATATCTGTTTGTTACAATGTCTGTGAATTTAATGGAGCAACAAGCATTAACAATTTTCCTATACAGTAAGAGACTCTAATTACATATATTCTATGTGTTAAACATGGTACTCTGAAGCATAAAGAATGAAAAATAAGTCCTAAATTCATATCATAATTAACCCAGCAGAAACTTTCATCTAATGCAATTATGTCGGGAAAAAAATCAAATGTGAATATATGTGTGTGTATATATATAGATAGATAGATATGTATATATATATGTGTATGTATATGTGTATATATGTGTATATACATATATACAATATATATTCAGTTTCGAAATAAAGAATACTAGCATTTTATCCTTTCCTTTAAAAATGACAGCCTTGCAGAGCTGCCTGTTCCTACTCCAGCCTCTTCTAATACCCTTTTCCAAATTTCTTAAGAATAAAAGGAAGCACCCTATGTTTTAGGCCATGGTTCCTTTTTCAAGTTCCATGCTTTCTGTTAGTGAACAGGAATTAGAGTGAAGTTCTGGAAAACTAGCAGATGGCAAAGCAAAGCAGTATTTCCAACTCCCAGCTCCAATCTCTCCCAATTCTAAGATAATATTTTTTCTACATTTTTCTTAACCTCAATATCTTTGCTTAGGAATGTCAACAAAGTTTTCTCTCAAAATGTTCAGGCACTAGAAATGAAAACGTTCTTTTTAGCAAAATGACAATACATTGTCTAGATAAGCGGCTATAACTAAATATTAAAATGATAATATGACACACTCTTCTTTTATCATTGAGTCTTCAGTAAGTTGTTTCAAGGACATTTCCCTTGTTTTTCTGGAGAGCAGTATTTTTAAACTAGAAGCTATTATATTCACTTGTTAAATGTCAAACCATTATAAAGCCTTTGAATATTTAAATATTCAACCAGAATCTGGTGCTATGTATGCCTCAAAATCAATGAAATGTTTAAAACTACCAAAAAAAGTATAATTTTTTTAACTAGAACTATGGTTAATGTTTTTGTTTTATATCTTTATTATTAGGATCTCAAGTTTAAAGGTTCTTAGATCCCTTTTGGGCTGGTAACAAGAACTGGGGAGATGGAAGGCCTGTCTCCTAAGCCTGATGTAAGAAAGTATGATTTTTAAAAAATAAGGAATTCTAACTGGAATATACGAAGTGTATGGCTGGGAAGACACTACCCTCTGACATTAATCCTCAATACTTGTCAGGGCTTTATGATGTTTGAAAACGATGTCATTATTAAGCTTTGTATGTCTGTATACCAATGACAGATTGTTCTATTTTTCTAATGGCTAGGAATAGAATTTAGATTTCTGGGGAAATATAGACAATATGAAAGAAAGAGTTGAAACTAGTCTTTTATTTTTCATGTTTTTCCTCCCCCAATCCAATTAATTTTCCTATTAACTGAAATGAGGTGCATCTTCCATTGTTCATTCACTAATTCTTTCATTTATCCACTACTTATTTCTTGAGTTCACTGTTTCATGTAGGGTTCTGGACACCTGAGATATTTCATGCTGTTTTCACATCCACTGATGCTTCTTTGTTGGTTTGTGGTAGATTCATGACCTCATCTAAATGCTGTCACAATTTTTATCTTGTTTATCAAATTCAGGCAATTAGACTCTAGGCTTTCTACTCCTCTGTGCCACCTGCATCAGCTGTACTTACTTAGTACCCACATAAAAGAAGTTTAATCTCTAGAGTATCATCAATTTCCAACCTTGATGGGCCATGCATGGTGACTCTGGAGCTTCTGTTCTGTCATCTGGCAGCTCCCTCTGCAAGAGAAGATGCAAGGGGAGCAAGAGGGGAAAGATGGAGTCAAGCTTTTACCCTCTCCACTTTTCTAATTGCTTACCTCAACACTTTTAACAATCTTCCAAAGAGAGGAATAGAACTGTGTGCTACAATAGGAGGAAAGAAGAGAAAGAATGAGATAGAGAATATTCTCCATGTCTCTGTACCAATTTTCAGTTCCCCCATACCAACAGCTCCAGTAAGCCCCAGGTGTTGAGCCCAGAAGTTCCATGTCATGAAGAGGGTGGAAATTCTGAAGCCTCTCTGCACCTGTTGTCAGAGTGGTTTTGAAACTCACAGAAACCATAAGCGGCACCTTCTACACATGATAGGACTATTTGGATTATTTGAAAACAGGCAAGAATTTTGGAACTCAAGGGGAGAGGAGTCAAAAAAGAATTACTCGCCTTATGTTCGTCGTTTTTCTAATTTCTTATAATGAATACTTTAGTCATTCCTAATGATAGACTGTACCTATTTCTTTTGGTAAACTAGGTTTCTCTGATAAATTGAGTTAGGAAATATTCTAATTGCCACTGGTTTTTCACAGTTTTCCTTTATATTCTCTCTCCCTGGAACTTCTCATCTATGCTCATGATTTTAACTACAACATTTACACAGCAGACTTATCAAGATATATTGCCAGGCTAGATGGCTCTTCATGATCTAGATTCATGATCAAACTTATGACCTTTTCCCTGAAAAGAAAAAAAAAAAACTTCCAATGTGTTCTATCTTGATTAATGTCACCACCATCCATCATTTTATGCAATTCAGAAAGCTAGAACTAGTTTTGACACCACTCTCTATCTCATCTTTCAATTATAATCTATCATTAGGTTCTGGTATATTATTTCTAACAAATCTCTTCCTTTTTTTCCATCCATCTATCAGTATCTTGGTCAAAGCTATTGTGATCTCTCTCCTCTCCTGGAACAATCTAAGAGCCTCCAAAAGTCTCATATATTAGCTTTATTCACCCTTAATTCCTTTCTCTACATACACTAAAGATGTCATCTCAGTCTCCAATGAGAAAGTTCAATGGTCTTAACTGCTTATTATGATAAAGATAAAAAAAAATATCACCTATGATATCCCATGGGATCTGATGCTACAGCAATTATAGTCTGATCATATGTCATTCTCCTAACTCTCAAACTCTGCCAGTTTTCCTAGGGGCTCTCCTTTTCCAAAATCTTCAGACTTTCAAATCCTGTAATTATTTTGAGTCAATGCAATACATAATTTTTAAAGAAATACAATATTTGTAGCCTACTTGTGCATTTTCCCAATTTCATATAATTTTGTCATAAATTGGATATGGGTTAAAACTATTCCCAAAATTCTGAGTTTAAGAAACTTGCTGTTAGTATCTTTATATAACAACAACAACAACAACAAAAGGCACATGCCCTCAGAGCACTGGCTGTGTGCCAGTCGCTTTTTGTGTTTATTGCTAGGGGCAGTAGCAGTGTTGACATGAGCAGTAGTTGTAATAGCAGCAGCGACGGCAGCACGTTTCCCACGGGGGGCAGGCGCAATGCTAGTGCTCCTGTCTGTGCTTCCACTGCAGCCACAAAACACAACTGAGGGATTGAGGTTCCCTGCCCACTTTAGAGGCCGGCAAACAGGACCAGAGCCACAGTTGGGGAGGTGCAGGGCTCTGTACCGCTGAGGCCACAGCACTCCCCAGCCGAATGCTGGTCGCCGCCCGACACGGGGAACAAGCCGATCTCAGAAATGGCCACAGCAGTGAGTTTCTGTGTAGCTCAACGCCTGTCTAAGTCCAGGGAAACTCTGGGAGTGGGTGAGTAAGAGAAATGACTGGCAGCTAGCTCCTCATGCCACTCCTCCAGCCCCTTCCGGAGAGGTGTGGGCTTAGAGAAACCAGGGCCTGGGGGACAGGACCAAAATGCCCTAGGGACGCGGAGCTGAGCTTACTTGATACTTGATGGAGAGGCCCTAAGAAATATAAATGAACTAGAAATATAAATGAGCAGTTAGCAGCCCTGAGGACCGACCTGCGTGGCTGGCACCCAGGAACCGCCCTCTCCATCTGCAAGAGGTTTTTTAAACTATATTCTCCGGTGGTTAGTCCGGCCAGCCTCAGGCAAGGAGATTCTATGAAAAAGGAATTCATATCAAACCTGTATTTCTACTCTAACAAGTTTTTAATTTGGCATTTTGGTAGTAGATTCACCTGCTGCATTTTCTGGTGAAAACCTCTGCTCAATGTGCAAATCCCACGTGTTCGCTGTTGTTCTCACTGTTAAGCACATGTCTGGGCCGCGGGAGGCACTGCCCTTCCCGGCTGGTGTCCTCAGTACCCGCTGGGTGAGGAAAGTGCGCCCCCACGGCTGAGGTGGAGCCTGCCCGGCCCCAAGGCCCCACCGTTGTTCTAGGAAGGGCGCAGTCCCGGGGCGGCCCCTGATGCCCTGGCTCAGAAACGCAACCCGAGCCAGAAGTAAGTGATGAGGGGGTTGTTTTGCGGTATAACTACCAAAGAGGACTGATAGGCTTTATTTTCGATTCTGAAATCTCGCTTAATTCAGGTGGGAGTAACAGACCCAATCCCTCACCCCTCCCAGAGTACCGTGTTTTTCTCTGCCATGGCATCTGCTGATTTAGTTGTCATGTGTACAACTCTGAGCTCAGAAAACTGTCAGCTCCCTGGAGGTAAGGGACGTTGCCTCTTCGCAGCATGGGGGTCAGCCAGCCAGAGACTGTGTCCTGGGATTATACTCAGAGTCTGGATGAAGACTGCTCGGGCTGTGATCCCAACTGTGCCATTTACTATGTTATCTTGGCCGAATATTTCAACTTCTTGCCTCAGTTTTCTCTCCTGCAAAGTGGAGATGACAGTATAAACTCCTTCAGGGTTATGGTGAGGGTTTCACAAAATGACACCTACAAAACACAGCAGACTTTGACACATAGTATGTACTTAATAAATGTTCTATAAATATATGCAACACAGTGCCTAGCACATTCTTTCTGACAGAGAACGTCAGAAAGTTTTTGATGAATTAGGCAATCAATCAATTAATCATACTAAGAAAAAACTAGGAAGTAAGAAGAGGAAGAAAAGTTAATGAGTCATAAAGTACCCACATACTTGATGGAGAGGCCCTAAGAAATATAAATGAGCTAGGTTTCTCTAATGCCAACAAAAAGCAGGCATTTGAGAAAATTCATTCTCTCTTCTAAATTGTATTCATAATTTTGTGTGCATTTACTCAAAATGGCTTCAAATTATGTAAGTATCAGGTGTCTCAGAGCCTGGATATACCCTGCCTGGCACCTTTTGTTAAAGAACTGACATTTTTGGACTTTATTCAGTGCCTCTCTATTTTATAAGCACAAAACGGGGAGCTTCCCCTTTCCCCATTCTTTGGAATGGCATTGAGTCTCATTTACTACTGGGTGAACATGGCAAACAAAAGAAATATGTGATGAGCTACAAGCATATCCTGAAGAGAACGAAGTATGCTGCTGTGCAAGTCAAGCCAGAATGCTGTGCAGGTGCCAGGCATTGTCAAGGAGCTGGAGCTGAAGGGACATGGGTGCCTTGCAGTCTGTGGGGTTTTGTTTATGTGACTGGAAACTCCGTTAAACAAAATCTTAATCAGATTGGACTTCCATTCACTGTTACTTTGGAAAGTCACATCTCACATCACTTCCCCATTCAACACATAGCGACAATTACTGAAATTTAAAACAAGCAAATGTGACCAAAGATTGCTGGACAAAACAGATCTGTATACTCATACTGCCACCTTCATTCCAAAGCCACAGCGATTATCAATAAAATGTAAGAAGAGAAAATTGCCCATTTTTAATCTAAAATTCAAATGTAACTGTGTGTGCTATATTTTACCTGTTAAATGTAGTAACTCATCAAGCATTTCTTATTTAATGAGAAAGTATCGATGGGCAGTAGTGAGAGGGGGACATTCAAGGACAGTAATAAAAAAATACAACTTAGAGGACATTAAACCAGATGAAGACATAAATAAACAAGACAATATGGGGAAGAAAAACAGAAAGTAGTGGTGGTTGCTGTAGTTTTTTTTTTTTTTTTCAGTTTTTGTACTACAAACTTGAGGGGAGCACAATTAATGTAGAACAAATTGGACACAAGTTTCACTGGGAGTAAACTGGCATTTTCCACATAACATGCAACGAATAGTCCAATAAGGAAATAAGCCATGCACAGGAAATAAACTATAATTAGAAGGAAGTCACCGCCCATGGACTAGAGGCTAGCACATTGATGGCAGATATAGGCAGGAATTTTAAGTCGTCTGTGCCACAAACAAGGAATAAAGGAAAAAATGAGTCATGGATGAAAGGGTTAACTCAAGATTGCTATTCAAGGTATTCTGTGACTGATGATCTATTTTTTCTTCCACTAACTCTGGTCATCTATGTTGGTGAAAATTCTAGTATGTGTGTATGCTTTGTCTTCTATCAGCTTTACTGACTAGAAACAGTGTGAACTGAAACAGCCAAGAGCTCATTCTCCCGAAGCCTGTGCCTACTGGTCTGGGGTTACAACACCTCAGGCCACCAGTGCCTTCCATGCCCTTGCAGCCCTTTAGTTGCCCAAAGCAGAGAATAAAAAGAGAGTTACCACCTCCATTCTACCCCTAAGTACATAAAAAATAATGAGTATAACGTAACATAACATGACATAATAATCCTTTTAAACTCCAATGCCTGTATATACTAATTTCGTCATATACAACTCATAGACAGTGAATGGTAAGCCAAACCCACGAAGCTCGTTTGAAATTCTCATTCATGCTATAATTCTGCATGTTCAAGGTTTAAAGAAAATATTTACCAGGGTTACCCACAGTTACCTCCCTGTCAAAAAAATGTGCTTATCACTGTCCCTCAATAGTTTTATTTCCAAGCAACAAGTTAACAGTCTTAGAATATCTACCTGTTCTAGATTTACCTTGAAGGCATAGTTGATCTATTTCCTATTTTTTCCCCATTGTATAGAGCACCCTTGACGTAAGTAATTTCATTTTAGAAAAAAGAGTCCATCTTACATTTCAAAAGGCATCATACCAACAAGAACCAGAGGTTCGCCTAATCCATAGAGGCTGTACCCAACCACAGAAAAACATAACTGGACATCAGCCCTCGCCAGAGGACTCTGTGGCCATAAAAAGAGCAGGACTTCACCAGCTCATGATGGCTGATTTGATACACTCCAATCTGGCTGTCACTTCTGATCACCATCTGTCAGTCAAAGGTTCTGCCCAAATCAAAAACTCTTCTTGGAAGCCATTGACTCCCACTCAGATCAAGCCATGACACTATCCTTGTCCACATTACTCTTCTTGGACTAGTTCATTAATCCCTTTTCCTATTTTATTCTCTCTTGACTTTAAATGTTACTTTGATGTGGAATGCTTAATCTATGACATTTATACATTGATTAAGTATACTACTACATATGGTTTGCAACTTTGACTGTCTTGCGGAGTGACTTGAGACTATGTGTCCACAGCTCTGACTACTGAGTGAAATGGTGGTACTAAGGAAAATTGCTTCCTTGGGAATTCCATGTAGCTCATGGCTTTTATGATTGAGATAGCATCACTAAAAGTCTGACCTTGTGGAAAGACACGAATGTGCATGAACCTGGTTATGTCTGATGTTGTGCCACTCACAACACTCATGAAATGAGCTTAGTTTCTGTATGACACATTTTGAAAATTGAAGCTGTCCGACTGCATTCCCTTCACTCCTATCTCACTCTCATCACCTCATCCTGGATTACTAACATAAACTCTGTCACTGGTTGATCTCTCTTTGGTTTTCTCCCCATTACTCATTATTTTATTCATTCACTCTATTGCTCATTGATTCGGACATTTGCATATTAACGCACCCACATAATATGTAATGTGTGTACTATGTATCAGGTACTGTCACATGCTTTAATAATCATAATCATACTTACTTATTATGCAAAATATTATTAATCTCCCCAGTTACATGGCCAATACTAAAGTCAGCAATATTTTTATTAAAGTATGTCATCATATATACAAATGTGAAATGAGATTAAATCCAAATTTCCTAATTTGAACTCTATCACATAAGAAAACTTTCCTACACTATTAGCAATCTATTTCAAAAGATTCTGGAAGAAAAAACAAACATGCAGAAAACACATATATTTCAGAAAGACATGCATAGGGCAATGAGTTGATAACAGGTATAACTATTCATACTGGGTTGAATTGTGTGCCCCTTCTACCAAAAGAAATATTGAATTCCTAACTTGCTATAACTGTGAATTCGATCTTATTGGGAAATAGGGTCTCTGCAAATGTAATTAAGTTAAGGATGTCAAGGCCACACTGGTTTCAAGTTAGATTTTAACTCTTTGGTATCCTTGTAGGAGAAGGAAGAAGGAGATTTGAGACCCAGAGAAACAGAGGAAGAGGCCATGAGAACATGGAGGCAGAGACTGGAGGGCAATCATGAACTAAAAACCACCAAGGATTGCAGAAGTCACCAGAGGCTGGGAAAGAGGCACAGCATGGATTCTTCCACAGAGCCTCCACATGGAACCAGTACTGCCAAAACCTTGATTTCAAATATCTGGCCTTAAAAACTGTGAATAAATAATTTCCTATTAAGTCACTCGGTTTGTGGCTATTAGTCATGGCAGCCCTAGAACACTAATATGCTGTCTAACAGAAAATGTGTGGCTCCCTGTCCTAGACCAATATGTCGGATACATAATTTGTGTGATATTTGAGCTCAAGAGAAGACCACCACCTTGGGAAGTAGCAGAGAGCCATTCCCCCTTCCTATATTTCTGTCCCATTCTCCCTTCCTATATTTCTGTCTCTGGTCATACAATTGGGCTTTCTGGCACACTGCTGTCTGTGCTAGAGGGTGTGAGGCAGAACATTCCTGTTCATGTGACTGTTCAGGTGGCTCTTTTGCAAGTCCAATTATTCCTATAGGTGGCTTTATTGAGTGTTGAAGTATCCAATAAAGACACTGCTTTTTTCTTATGAGATTGTATTTAAATTTTTAAAAATTTAATTATAAGATAGCCATCAAATATAATAAGGTCTTTATTCCTGAGGAAGTCTAAATGGGAGAATGTAGAATATGGTTACTGTAGAGAAAAATGGGCTAGCCGACTGACATCCCAAGCTAAGCAGATGTGCACACACAGTTCCAGGGTCAGTAAGACTTCCTCCTCCTCAGGTACAGCAAATGGAGAAACAGAAAGCTGCTCCCTATAAGCACTTCCTGGAGCAAAATGGGGAGTTGAAACCAGCATGCCCACTTTAATCTCTCTAAAAATGCCAATTAGAATAAGCTATACCTCCTCCCCTGGAGCAGAGCAAGAGAAAGGGTGGTAGATGCCAGATGGGTCTCACCAATGAAGTTGCCTCACCAAGGAAGGAAGAAGAATATCCTGTTATAAAGTCACAAGCCTACATTTGAGAGGGAAAACCCACAGAAGAGCTTGGTGACCTTTCCCAAGACAGCTTTAGCAGTAATTATGACAATTAAAGTATGCTAAAGTGCTGTGTGAATGAATTATCCAATTAAAAGTCAGTCATTCTTTCCTCAGCGTCCTAATAACTTTTTGTCTATATTTTATCATAGAATTTTGCAAACGGTACTGGATATATTGGTTTACGTGTCTGATTTCTCCACTAGACTATGAGAACAAGAACACTTACGTATGTTATTGATTTCTATATTCTTAAATACATTGCATGATTTTGCAGTTCTTTCCTTCATTTAAACCTTATCTCTCTCACTGAATTATTAGCTCTACACAACTTGCTGCACATCGCCTGAAACAACCAGAGCAGTAATCAATAAGGGCTGATTGACATCTTGTTTCCTGCTTGCTTCTTCACTTTTACATAGGGTTTCTGCTTAGATTCTGGTTCACATTTTCCTTGTATTTTGCAGCTCACTGATATGAAAGTGGAAGCAGACTCTTGGAAATTAAAGACCCATGTGAGCATAAATGCTTGAAACCTTTAATTTAAATCATAAACTGCACTTGAAACCTTTAATTTAAATTATAAAATATGTGCATAAGAGAATATAAACACAAAATGTGGCTTATGAGAGAAATAATCAAATGATACATCAGGAAAATATATACACTGCACTCGTGATTGGTTATAATTAGAAAAAGGACTAAAGACTACCTTGGAAAAAGTTGAAAATCTTAAAACTGCCCAAACAGGGGCATCTTAATTCGTTAAAAACCACTGGCCCCCAGGGTATTTGAAAACAGTATGAGTAGGAGAAAGGTCAAGTTGATATTTGGAAGTGCCAGCCACTCTTATGTGGTGATTTCTATATCCTAGTTTGACTGATTTGAACTTTTCATTTATTCACTCATTCACTCACTTACTTATTCAAGAAATAATTTTCTTATGTGTCAGAAATTGGAATTATCTGCATATGGGAGGCGACTTGGAATGCAAGTTTATAGATTTTGTGCCTTGGGCAATTGTTAAAAATGTGTTTTCTCACTAGTTTGCCTCTTCTACGGTATGGTTTCTCTTCAGTTATGAAGAGCAAATGATTTAGATCCACCTTAATCCCTACAATTCCCGTTGGCTCACTGGAAAGGTTGGTTATTCTCAGTGAGTTGAAAAAATATTTTCTTCTGATTCTTCTATTAAAATATTTATTTTATTAAGAAATAGAATAACTTTGCTTTTATGAAAGGTGTTCATAATTTGTATAAAGCTTAGTAATGTATGTTATTTTAAAAAAAACTAATATGAAATTCCTAAATTTGGGCCAGGTGCGGTGTAATCACAGAATTTTGGGAGGCCGGGTGGGGCGAATCACTAGAGGCCAGGAGTTCAAGACCAGCCTGGCCAACATGGTGAAACCCCATCTCTACTGAAAATACAAATGTTAGCTAGGCCTGGTGGCACACGCCTGTAATCCCACCTACTTAAGAGGCTGAGACACGAGAATCGCTTGAGCCTGGAAGGTGGACGTTGCAGTGAGCTGAAATCATGCCACTGCACTCCAGACTTGGTGACAGAGCAAGACTCTGTCTTAAATAAATAAATTAATTAAATTCCTAAATTTGTATTGTATTAAATTTGTGATGTGAAATACAGCCTGAGTGATAGTATCATCACTATATGACGCTTAACATAATGTGACAACATATTTCAAAGTAGTAGTCTTTATGAAATATATTTTATATTTTTAACTAAAAAACTTCAGATATATGAATAAAAATTTTTAAATAAATATTGTTGTATTTCTATTTGTCATGCACCCACTGTTTTGATTCCCTATCAAAGTATCCAGAATTTTTATTTCTAATGATCACAATTTCCTAATAGCAATAAAGACTGAAAATTATATGTGGACTTTTAAAATGCTGAAACATATCTTTATAAGTTGGCAAAATTTGGGCTTTCAGGACAAATTTTCTTCATAGAATCATCCATTCAGAATCTGATAGAAGAACATTTAAAAAGTAAAATATGTCCATCAACAGATAAGCGGATAAAGAAAATGTGGTACATGTACACAATGGAGCGCTAATCAGCCATTTAAAAAAAATAAGATCCTATCATTTAAAACAACATGGATAGAACTGGAGGTCGTTATGTTGAGTGAAATAAGCCAGGTACTGAAAGACAAACTGCACATGTTTCACTTATTTTGGGGGCCTAAAATTTTAAAACGGTTGAACTCATGCAGATATAGAGTAGGAGGATGGTTACCAGACGCTGGAAAAGGCACTGGCTGCGGGGATGCGGGGATGCGGGGATGCGGGGATGCGGGGATGCGGGGATGGATAATGGGTACAGAAGTGTAGTTAGAAAGAATGAGTAAGATCTGGTATTTGAAGTACAACACGGTGATTTCAGTCAACAGTAATTTATTGTACATTTAAAAATAACTACAAGAGTATAATTGGATTGTTTGTAACACAAAGAAAGGATAAATGTTTCAGGTGATAGCTACTCCTTTTACCGTGATGTTATAATTACACATTAGATGCCTCTATCAAAATATCTCACGTACTCCATAAATATATACACCTACAATGTACCCAAAAAAGTAAACGATAAAAAGACCTTATTTTATGGTAGGAGAAAATTAATGTTTTAAAGTGAAAAGAGGCCTTATCATCATAGAGATCTGAGTTAAATATGAAATATACCGTTAATGAATTATAAGAATTCTAGTGGGCATTTTCCCCCTATAGCCTGGGTTTTCCTTCTATTATGTTGTCTATATGCCCAGTTTTGTAGGACTGCCCTTGTACATGCTTCTATCCTGGGTTCCATCATTTTTCTAATTTTTCTTGTTTTTTTTTTCTCTAGTTTTTATAAAGTTGTTTTGAAGTATCACTGATATAGAAATAGTGATTAGATATAGAAATAGTATATAGATTAAAAGTGAACTGCTTTATCGATTTTCACAAAGTGAACACAACCATGTAAAAGTTCCCAAGATCTAGAGAGAGAATATTAGTGCTTCAGAAGTCCACTTTTTCCACTCCCTGTCCAGGTTACAACCTCCTCTCTAAATAGCCCCTGTCTTGACTTATAACCATAGACATGCTTTACCTCTTTTTGAATTTTATGTAAATGTTCTTGGATCCTTTCCCTTAATATTATTTTTTGTTGAGGCTTGTTCATTTTATTGGAGGTTGAAGTTATGCATTGATAATAACCACTGTACATTTTATGAATATATAACAACTAATTTAATTATTTTATTTATTGGTATTTGAGTGTTTCCCTTTTTGCCTATCTTATATATTTCTTCTATGAACAATCTTGTCTATATTTTTACATGAAATTTTATATAATTGGTCTTCTAAATATATATATATATATATATATTTTTTTTTTTTTTTTTTTTTTTTTTTTGAGACGGATTCTCGCTCTGTCTCGCTCTGTCGCCCAGGCTGGAGTGCAGTGGCGCGATCTCGGCTCACTACAAGCTCCGCCTCCCGGGTTCACGCCATTCTCCTGCCTCAGCTTCCCTAGTAGCTGGGACTACAGGAACCCGCCATCATGCCCGGCTAATTTTTTGTATTTTTAGTAGAGACTGGGTTTCACCGTGTTAGCCAGGTTGGTCTCGATCCCCTGACCCCGTGATCCGCTAAATACATTTATATTGCTTCTAAAGTTAGGCTTGAATTTCAGGGTGATAAGCACTGTAAATTTAGAATCCCAAAGTGGTTATATCTGTATAAACCCCACCAGCTGTCTACAAGAGACCAATTGTGCCACATCTGCACTATTGTTGCTATTGTTCATCTTTTTTTATTGTATCTATTTTTGAGCATATATTAGTAATATTATAGTGTAGTTATAATTTGTATTTTTTCCAATAACAAATAATGGTGAAGTTACAGTCATTTGTCAAGTCTCTACTCTGTTCTTTTATTTTTATTACATTTATACATTTATGCAAATATTTTCATGTTAGGTCTTGTATCTTAGTTATCTTAATATTTTCTCTTGATAAATAAGTTTCTAATTTAGAATTAAAACAAATTATTAATTTTTTATAGCTACTGCTTTATAAATTCTATTTATGAAATTTTTGCCAAACCAATATCATGAAGATATTTATTCTTTTAGGTTTTCTAAAAGTTTTGTGTTTAAATCTGCAATCTATCTGGGATTGGTGACTCTTATATATTTGGCACACGACAGGGGTCATGATTCATTTTTTTTCCTTATGTGTACTTAATCGAACCCACATACAAGAGAACACTTTTTCTACTACGTCACAATATTACCTTTGTTCTAAAGCTAATATTTCTATATTGATCAATGTTTTCCAGAACTCTTTATTAAGAAACCATTGACCTACTTGTCTTTCTTTGAGCCAGGGTCACACTTTCTTATACCACCACTTTTAAAACTATGTGATATCACCTCTCACCATTAGGATGGCTACTATCAAAAAATGGAAAGTAACAAGTGTCAGTGGAGATGTAGAGAAATTGGAACCCTTGTGCACTGCTGATGGGAAAATGGTGCAGCTACTATGGAAAACTATATGGAGGTTTTCCTAAAAATTAAAAATAGACCTATCATATAATCTACCAATCCCACTTCTGCGTATATATCCAAAATATTTCAAAGTAAGGTGTTTGCACCCCACGTTTTTTATTGATCTGTATTCTACCTCAATAATAAAGTGGAAAATTTATTTATAAATTTATATATTTAAATTTATAAAGTTAAATGTAGGTATAGGACAGGGATCATGTTCTATACCTTTACTGAGGCCATGGACATGACCTTAAAGCACTCTTCTTTTTAGAGGTGTTTGCACACTCATGTTGATATCAGCACTATTCACAATAGCCAAGAGGCAGACACAACACAAATATTCTTTGATGGAAGAATGGATAAGCAAAATGCAGTGTATACACACAAAAGAACAATATTCTCCCTTAGTAAGGAAGGAAATTTAGTTATATGCTAAAACATGGCTGAACCTTTAGGACATTGTGCTAATTGAAATAACCCAGTCCAGTCACAAAAATACCCATACTGTATGAGTCCACTTATGTAAGTTTTCTAAAGTAGTTAAATTTAGAAAAACAAAAAATAGAATGGTAGTTACCAGGAGTTAAGGAAAGGGGGGAAAAATGAGTTGTTATTTAATGGGTATAGAGTTTCAGATTTGCAAGATGAAAAAGTTCTAAAGATCTGTTTCATAACAATGTGAGTATGCATAACACTATTAAACTGCACACTTAAATTATTAAGATGGTAAATTTTATGTTATTTTGGGGGGCTTTTATCACAATAAATTATTTAATATATGTGATATGGTAAGTTTCTGTGTCTTCAAGATTTTCTTGGCTATTCTGAACCCTGTGAATTCCCATGCATTTTTAAATTAGCTTATAAATTCCTGTAGAAAATGTTTGCTGGGCTATTTGGGTGGGATTGACTACATTAAATTATATAGATCAGCATGAGAAAATCTTTTATATCTACAATTTTAAGTTTTCTAATTATTAAAGATGTTATTTGTCTCCATTTATTTGTTACTTATGTAATCTCTGTTATATAGTTTTCAAGACAGAAGACCCATATACATTTAATAACATTTCTTTCTAAGTATTTAATGTTTTCCAATATTATTGTGATATTTTGTCATTTGTATTTGTTGCTAGTGCATGAAAAGTACTTAATGTTGATATCATGTCCAGCAAGTTTTCTAAATTCATTGATAAACCCGAGTTTACCTTTTGCTTACTTTGAATTTTCTATGTACTCAATTATGTTATCTGAAATACGATGAGGTTTTTTTCCCTAGTCTTTAAATTTCTTATTTCATTCTTTTTTTAGTATTTTGGCTAGAACTGAAGTGTAATGTTGAATGTAGGTGTTAATGGTAGTCATGCTTTTCTGTAACTAACGTCAGTAAAATACATTCTCTTTACTCTTTTGGTTTCTGTGCTCTATTCTGGACATATTTGATTGATCTATATTCTCCTTCAATAATAAATTCTTTTGTGTTGTCTAGTAGCATGATAAACACATTAGTTGAGTTCTTTTTTATTTCCAAAACTGTATTTGTTTATATATTTCAATTACATGGTAAATTTCTCCATTTTAAATATTTTATCCATCTTTCCACTATTTGTATTCATAGCTTTTTAAAATTATTTTCTATTAACTATAATACCTGTATCATCTGTGAATTTGTTTGTAGTCTCATTTTATTCTTAGTTTTCAGTCATATGATCCTGTATCTTGGGATGCCTGGTAATTTAAAATGTAATGCCAAATGTTTATAAAAATTGTGCAGATATATGCATATGTTCAGAAGAAAACATTATATACGATTGTTCATAGCAGCAATCTATAACAGGCAAAAATCAGATACATTATAATGCTACAAAAATAGGATAAATAAATGACGATTCTTTCATATGTTGGAATGCTATACAGAAATGAGAACAAACTATTATTACATGTTGCAACAAAAGTAAATCTCATAAAAACAACATTTAACCCCCTCAAGAAAAGAAACTGTAAATAAAAGAGCATTTACTGTACAATTTGATTCAGGTAATTGTGTAAAAATAGGCAAATCAAACTGAGGGTTTTAGACGTTAACATAATGGTTACTTTCGGGCGGATAAAATTCCTGAGTAGGGCTTCTGAAGGGCTGGCAATGTCTAATTCTTAACTGTAAGCTGATTATACATCCATAGTCATTTTATGAAAAATCATTGAGTCAGACACTTGTGTTTTGTGAATTTTTCTGTATGTATATTAAACTTTGATAAAATTTAAGGGGAAAAACTACACTGAGATATTTCTTTCATATCAAATTGGCTAACATTCAGATGCTTGACAACATAATCTGTGCTAGAGCACAACAGCAACTCGCATACAAAATGTTAACTGTGTAGAAGAGAATTTCGTGCTATCCAGCAAAATTTCATCTGAATCACAATTTAAGGAACCCGAATTCTGAGTATGTACACCAAAGGCAAACTGGCAAATATACTGGAGAATATATGCATATGAAGTTTCTCATATGAAGCACTATAAGCAGGAGCAAAAGACTGTAAGTGAGCTGAATATCCACCAGTAGGGAACTAGATGAATAAGTAATAATTCAATAATTCTAAAACTAGGTATTATAAAATAATATATGAATTCATACTGATCTATGATAAATGCAGGACATCTAATTCCTGAGAAAGAAAGACTACCAGTGTGCTTTTGATAATGGCAAAGAGATGAATTACAGAAGTATCTTATTAAAATCATTTGACATCTGCTTAAGAGGATTTTTACTTCTGAAGCTGTAGTTATGCTGTGTTTAATTGAAAGTTCATAAATAAAAAATCACAGGGATTTTTTAGATAGCTGTGGATTAATGTTTCCAATCATTGTTTAATTTTCCTTTAAATATGGAATTTATATAAGTTGTCCATTTGTTTATGGTGGAGATCATGCACACTGGATGTGCCCTAATCATTCCTTTGCATTTTGTTGAGTTTTTGTGTGTTTTTTTAGGCTGAATTTTATGCATACTGTGTTAGCTACATGTTTAATTTTTTATTGGTTCCTAGGGTTCTGTCAGAATCTACCCTTTTAAAATACAATCTATGTGTAAAGGAGCTGATACAATAGCAGAAGCCAAGTAAAGTAACATGAGACAGTTGTCCCAGACTAGCTGATGAGATATGGATCGAGGGAGGAAAGGAGGGGGACAAGGGAGAGCTGTAAACTGCGTGATGAAAAGAGGCAACCAGAGTGTCCAGACCATCCCTCTCATGGCCTTTAAATGGGCTTTGGTCACCCACAAAGACAGATGGGGAGCTTATAAAAAAGCCCTAACTACATAGAATTCTGTAGAGCACAGTGGTTAGAAACATGGACTTTTGTGTGGCTTGGCTCAACTGAATCCTCAGTTGCATCTCTTACAAATTGTAGGTGACCTTACGTGAATTACTGAAACTTCAACTTTCTTTGGATAGTTATTTTATTTGTAATATGAGAATGATGCTAATGTTAGTGACCCCAAAGGAATTAACAAATCAAATAAAGATATGTGTATCAAAACTAGGTTTCACTAAGTGAAACACTTAACATACAATATTTGAAAAATTTTAAAGCACTTAACTCTGTGCTACTTCTAACTTAAGCACTAAGTACGTGTGAACTACTATTATTATTATTATTACTATGAGTATTGACTCCTCATCTCTGGAGTTAGACTATCGCTTATTTAACCATCTAAGCCTCTGCTTCTTGTATTTTCTTCACTGAGTAGCTAAACTACAATTAGCTCTCTGTACCAGATTCAGATTCATTATTTTTTCCTATACCATTAAAAAAGTATTACTTAAATGTTATCTATGTGCCATGCACCATTGTGTACTAGCTGTTCCTCATTTGTGGAGAATATTTTATTCATGCTTTTTTTAACAAAAAAAATCTATTTTTAGCACTTTTTATATTCATCCTTCAACTCTAAGCATTCTATGGTTAGTTCAGAAAAGCTACCTCTGTGCCCACCGCTCGGCAAAGTTAATCAGCTGACTTGATCTCTTATCTAGCTTCAAACGTAATGTAAGCATTCAATAAACCAAAGAAAGGGGTATGGAACAATAATGTGCACTAACAGGGAGTTCCAAAGATTATTTCAAGAAAACCCACACAGGCCTAGGGAAGAAGAAAGAAAGTTATTACAAGTGTTTCTGCTTCTTCTGTTTTCATAACAGAAAGTTTCTATGCCTTCTGAAATCCTTGTGGATAGAAAGATGATAGAGCAAAAATAATTGAAAAATATGTTAATAGAAGGCATACAATGGATAAAGATAAGCTTATATTGAATTTATGGAAATCATGATCTGAAAACCAGATTGACCCTTTTTTAATTAATAGATTTATTTTCACACTAGGAAGCACGCATACCAATAGAAGGCAGAGCATCAGGCAAACAGATGCAATGCCTTAGGCAATCAAACACTCTATGTAGGGCCATGGTTGAGTAAATTTTAAGAGGCAAGGATTCCTTCCACAAGCAACTAGAATAATAGGCAAAATATATAAAATAACTGTGTTCAGTCATTGGATAACAGGTGGTACAGGATTAGGATCCCTGAAAGAAGGAAACAAACAATATGAGCATCATGGTTATCTCAGTTCTACCTGGAGGCACTTCCCAGATGGCAGTATTGGGACAGGAAGCCTGAAGAAAACACAGTAAGGTTTCTGAGCTGGGAGGACAAATCAGGGGTTGGAGCTATTGAGGTAGCTGGGATTTGCAACAGGCTTCAGAATTCTGCATAAGGATCTCCTCTAGTATTGTGCTATGTCTGTACAGGTCAGGATCCGAAGGTCAGGTGAAAAAAAGGCATCAGAGAAAAAACAGCTACAGGGAAGCTGTGAATGGAAAAACAAAGTTTGCACAAAATGATGTTCAAGTTCCAAGCAGGCAGATAGGAGAAACCTTGTTAAGTACCTTGGTAGTCCACAAGAGAATCCCGAAAGTTTATACCACAGGATTAAGGTTAATCTAGCCCCACACTGAAGGCTACTCAGAACCAATTTTTTTTAAGCCCTGGGACTCTCAAGCTGATTTACAATAAACCTGAAGGGAAAAAAAATAACACCAAAGAGTTTGAATGTTAGAATATGCAATATTTAATGTACAAGGAAAAATATTAGAAATGCAAAGAAGCAGGAAAATTTGATCCATAAACAAGAGAATTACAACTTAACAGAAATGGACACAAAAATAGAAGGCATGATGATATTAGTAAAGAAGCACATTAAGCAACTATTAAAATTATATTCAAAGATTTGAAGAGAAACATTAATGTACTTAGGAGATATTGAACACATAAAAAAGAACCAAATGTAAAATCTAGAGCTAAAAGATGCAATATGTAGAATAAAACTTTTATGGATCAATGAACAGGAAGGCAGGATAATATAAACTCACCAAAAAAAGAAAAAAGAAAGACATACATAGAAACAAAAAGGAGAACAATGAATAAACAGAGCCTATGTAAACTGTTGGACAATATTAAGTATAATACATATACATTGAATATGAGAGAAAAAAATGAAAGGAAGATTGGAGCAGAAAAATCATAAAATCGTTTGAAGAAATAATGGCCATACATTTTCCAAATCTGGTGATCCATGAAACTCAATGGACTCAGGCGTTATAAACCAAAACCACAGCATATTATTGTCAAATTCCTAAAATTCAGTAAGAAAGAAAAGTAATAAAATCAGCCATAAAGAGAAAGACATTATATACAGAAGAACAAAGATAATCGTTACCACCATATTTCTTGTCTAACACAATGCAAGATAGAACACACTAGAGAAGAAAAATTAAATGCAAAAACCATCTGCTAACCCAGGATTCAATATCCATTGAAAATATCCTTTAAAAATCATGATGGACATTCCAAATTCACCCTGGAGATGTAGACAGTTGAAAGGAATCTCCACCCCATACTTACAAGAACAATTTTGGGTAAACATGCAAATTAATGCAAATTAGCTAATTAATTTCTCATCAGAGACCTTGTAAGCAAGAACAAAATGGAGCACGGTCTTTAATGTGCTGGGGAAAAAATGCTGTACTATATCCAGTGAAAATAAACTTCAAAAGCAATGCAGAAATACTATCTTAGGCATAATCTGAAAAAAATCTTTGCCATCAGAGATGCTCTATAAGAAATGTTAAAGTAAGTTATTTAGGTAGAAGGAATAAAATATAGGTGAGAACCTTGAACCTACAAAAAGAAATGAAGAGTGTTTGGAATTAATGACAATAAAATAAAATGTTTCTTGCTTATAATTGCTCTCAAGGAACAAACTTTTTATCTCTTAGTCAAGAGAGACCAAAGTACATGAGGGTAAAGGATGTAACTTCATTTTATAATGTGCTGTGCTGGAGCACGCCAGGTGAGACAGGTGATGTCTTTTCCACCTTTCTTTTATCTGGGAATGGAATAAGAATAATGAGGTGGAGGTGGTAGCAGAGGAGAAACTATGTCACCCACACTTATGTCAAGCAGGGGTCAATTTGGAGAGTGTGAACAAAAGACGGGGTTGCTTACCCTGCTCTTGCATTTTTCTGTCTGTGCTGTTCTCACATCATTGTGGTACTTCTGCTAACATTTGGCACATGGTGTTGGACATTGCCATTGACCAGAACTCTTTGGAGGTACCAGTATTATTTAGAACATGATCTCTGAGTCTAGACCATTTGTCATAATTTGGCAAGCACTACACCGCTATGAGAATCTGTTTTTCATATACCTCACAAGGTGCAGTATCATGGTTCCTTCATGACTCAAATTCCTTTAATCTGAAAACATTTGTCAATAAATACTTTCAGCATAGAGGCCTTAAATATCTCAGCAAATATTCTTTGTGGGATTTACGTGGTTAAGCTCCACCACCAGTCTTTACTGCACAGAATGTCTCTGAGAATGCCATGATGATGGCCCCATTCTCTAGAGGGGAAAAATGAGCAGCCAGGGGGGTTGCGTGTTTTCAAGTCCATTAACAAGTCCCAGCTATCTCAGCTGTTGTGTTGGAATGCCCTCACTGAGGATAATAGAGAAAAGAATTGCACAAATACTTATGACAATTGCCTCGGGAAAACTATTTTGACATACACAGTTACCCAGACCTTATGATTGTGATTCAAGAGAGATCTTAAAATTGATAAGCTTTTAACTAACTCCCTTATTCCCCTTCCTTCAAAATTTATTGAGTATTTACTATGCACTCTTAAGTCTAGGGATATAAAGACAAATGAACCACAGTTTTTAGCTGTGATTGAAGAAGGAAATGAGAGAGGGCTGGCTTTGTTTTCACATCCTGTTTTTGTTGGTTTATTCCCTATAGTCAGTGGGAAGCTCTTGGGTTTTAATAATTGGCTTTCTATTTTTGTTTGTATGGAGGTAACAATTTCCCCAGAACAATTTATAAATCATTACTCATTGCAAATATATGGAGGATTCATGCAGTGGGAGCTGCATGAAGTAGCAGGAAAATATTATCAAGAATACTTCTTATAATAATATTCAGGTCAAACTCTTTGGTTCCAGATAAGTGAAAACATTGCAACATCTCCATAAAGGAAGTAGTGGTTAATACTCAATACAAAGGATGTTAAGTTACCTAATTCAAATTACTTTATAGTCTTCTTCCCTTTTCTTTAAATCAATATTAGGAAGTTTATTTTCTTTATTCCTCTAGTGAAACTAAAAAATCAATAATACTATAGAATTACTTGTGTTAACGATAATAAGCTCTCAAAAACAGTGGATCTTGTGCAGTGAAATGCCTGAGCTAAAGGCTGCTGGGCATACCTTATCAAAGGGTGGATTTCGTCTTGACTTTGCCATCCAGGAAGGCTCCTTGGAGGAAGAGATATCTAAGGATGGGTCAGAATTGTTAGGTGAGGTTGGAAGTGTAGTAGACAGAGGCTAGCATGTGATAGTGTCATGAGTGAGCACATCCTGCTCCTGGAGAAGTTTCTTGTGGTTTGCTGGCATAATGCACAGAGAGGAGTGGCTGGAGACGAAGCTGGAAGTGGGGCAAGCATGTGCTATAGTAACAGGCTACAGTAACAAGTTTGGACTTCAGCCTGTGGGCATTGGAAAGCCATTGAATGGTTTTACAAATGGAAGTGACATAATTGAGTTCATTTAAAAATGTTCTCTCTGGCTGTAGGATGAAAAACGGACTTGAAGAGACCAAGACAGGAAATGGGAAGACCGGTTTGAAGCAATGCACAGAGAAATGACTGACTCAGATATTTTAAAAGGGCCATTCTCTGGGGCCTGTGCAGGCCAATAGCAGACCATCTCAAGTTCTTTGAGCATATACTGTTCAGAGATTTTCCTTCTATAAATGAAAGATGACTCTATCGAAAAAACAAAGAGTTCTCAGTTTCTAGTGTAGTTTTAGAGATTTTTAGTTATATCTCAACTGAGAAGTCCACATTTAGAGAACCCTTTAAGACGTAATTACAGGTAGGTATCAGGACTACAGGTATCTCAATTGAAGGCAAAATAAATTTTAGTCTCAGCTTGGAATGCCACAGTTAAGCAACACCTTAAGTCGAGCTAAGCCTGCTCATATTTTATAATATATGACTAAGAAGCTCATTTTAGGCTTTTCAGAGCATAGTAACAAAGAGAATAAATTCTATTTTTTACACCAGTTTTCAACATTTCCTTCAGGATCAATTATGAGCCAAAAACTGTGCACTAGGGACCCTTTGTATATCTTTCATAAAATGTGCAGTAACATTCAGCTTAACACAACAAGCCAAGTCCTCTGTGTATTCAGAGTGTGAACTGCTGAGTGCCAAAACACGATGTTCACATGGGATGATGTAAAAGACCTCCCTAGCAGAGCAAGGATCTCCTCACCAAAATCAAACCTACCACCTTCAAGTCATGTATTTTAAAATGCATTACTTTCCAACTGCAATTTTTGTTTTGCAAAAGACTAAGATATAACTGACATTAATGGCTTTTTTAATCCTGTTGATTTCTATTAGAAGGTAGATACACCCTTGAGTTTTACTCTTCAAGGGTAGCAACATCTGTGTAGAGTCTTGTGGGAGAAGATATTGTAAGGAGCTACAAGGAACAGAATAAAAGAGAAGGAAATCATCCAAACGTGACCTCTGAAAGCCCTTTTGGTACATGGTAAAATTTACTTTATTTAGACCACTCGACATAATTATATGTAGCTAGATATTATTATGTCAGTATAACACAATTGTTACAATTATAGAACCTATTAGTCCGGGCACGGTGGCTCATGCCTGTAATCCCAACAATTTGGGAGGCCAAGGCAGGCGAATCACCTGAGGTCAGGAGTTGGAGACCAGCCTGGCCAATGTGGTGAAACCCCATCTCTACTAAAAACAGAAAAATTAGCCAGGTGTGGTGGTGCATGCCCTCAATTCCAGCTACTCGGAGGCTGAGGCAGGAGAATTGCTTGAACCTGGGAGGCGGAGGTTGCAGTGAGCTGGGATTGTGTCACCACACTCCAGCCTGGGCAACAGAGTGAGACTCCATCTCAAAAAAAAAAAATAAATAAACTATTTTATTGATAATTACTAACTAGAGCCCATACTTTTTTCAAATTCCCTTATTTTTTACTTAACTCCTTCTTCTGATCTAGGAATCCATTCAAGATATTACCTTAGCTTTGGTTGTTCTATCTCCTTAGGCTCCTTTTGGATGTGATGGTTTCTCAGACTTTTTACCTTTTTGAGATAATTTTGGCAGTTTTGAGCCATTGTGGTCAGGTATTATGTAGAACGCCCCTTCACTGGGATTCATCTGATCATTTTCTTACGATTACACTGGGGTTATGGGTTTGAGGACGTGGGACCATGGAAGTAAAGTGTCATCCTTATCAAATCATATCAAGGTACATGCTATCAATATGACTTGCCACTGTTGATGTTAACCTTCATCACCTGAATGAGGGGAGTTGTCAGGTTGCTCCGCTTTAAAGTTACTCTTTTTCCATCCTTTCCAAACTGTATTTTTTGAAACAAGCCACTATGTGCAGCCCGCACTTAAAGGGTTGAGGATTGTGCTCATAATTCATCAGTGGCTCTGTAAGAATACAGAGGAAAGGAGCCAGAAGGTTTCTGCTTAATGCATCTTGCCTCATCTTTTTTTTATTACTATGTACAAAGATGTTTTTACACATAGAAACTTGGTACTGTATTAATAAATTCAGTGTGTAGCTTCAAAGTAAAATAAATTATTAAAGTATTTGGAACTTTGTCTATATAGGGCATTTGTCTATTCTCCTGAATTCATTTGTTTATATTAGTAAGAGCTCATAGAAATGCACTTTATACTTTAGGTAATAACCCATACTACTTACCTGGGGCCATTGCTGCTCAAGTTTTTCCAGCCTTGGTGATGGGCGATGCTTTCAGTTAGCTCCTGTCCCTTTGACATACTCTCATCATTGTGGGAATTTTATTTGAACACTTCCTTACTTTGGGCACTAAAAGAGGCCCCCGACTCTTCTTGTCTATTTCCTGCCCCAGTCTTAGAATCAGTGATTTCTCTAAGGAGCTCCAGTTCCCTTCACTGGGGAATAGTATTAGAAACCAAGATCTGGGCAGCAGGTGTGTTCACTGCTAGTAGGGTAGCCTAAGCTCTCTCAGCTGACAGGGAAATATATTTGTATACTAGCCCATATATAAACACATGTCTATACACATTTCTATATGTACACATCTGTATCTATATTAAACTATATATGAGTTTATACTGACATTGCCAAGCCTAATCCATTGCCACATAAGTCATCCCAGCCTTCTCCCCTTGCTTATTTGTAAACTCGGTCTCTAAGAGTGAGAAACCTGGCTTACATCATCAGCCATTAGCTTACTAAGTTGTTCATTCTAGTGTACATGTGTATAGCACTACCAGCACTGTTAACCAATGCCCTGTGAATACTCCACTCATTTCCAGAATTGCTAAGGTCACAACCCTTCCTCCACCCCTTTCTGTTAAGTCAGTGTATACATTTGTAGTACAATTAGATTATTTTGTCATATTCGAAGTTCCATCCTGGATTCTGTCAACCTCTTATTTTTATAACACATATCTTTTTTTTTCTTGTTTTTTTGAGACAGAATTTTGTTCTATCACCCAGGCTGGAGTGCAGTGGCACAATTACAGCTCACGACAGCCTTGACCTCCGGGGCTCAAGCAATCCTCCCATCTCAGCCTCTTAAGCAGCTAGGGCATGCCACCATGCCTAACTAATTTTTTTTTTATGTTTTGTGGAGACAAGGTTTGCCTGTGCTTCCTAGACTGGTCTCAAATTTTTGGGCTCGATGCATTATTTTTTAAATTAATTTTTAATACATTAAGATTATTCCCAGTACTATAAAGTTCTATGGGTTTTGACAAATGCATACTGTCATGTGTCTACCATAATGGTGTAATACAGCATAGTTTCAGAGCCCTGAAACATTCTTTCCTTCACCTATTCCACCCTCCCCTGAACCGAACTCCTGTTAACCATTTATCTCTTTACTATATCTATAGTTTGACTTTTCTAGAATATCACATAGTTGGAATCATACAGTATCTGGCTCCTTGAAATTCATCTCTATCAATTAGTAATATGTATTGAAGTTTCATACATGCATTTTGTAGCTTGATTACTCATTTCTTTTTCTCACTGAATAATATTCCATTGTCTTTATTCCACAGTTTGTATATCCAGTCACCTATTAAAGGACATCTTAGTTGCTCTCAGTTTTTACAACTACAACTAAAGCTACTTTAAACATTTCTGTGAATGTTTTACTGTGGACATGTTTTTAATTCATTTGTGTAAATACCTAGGAACATGATTTCTGGATTATAAGTCTATGTTTAACTTGGTAAGAAACTGCCAGTCTATTTTCTAAAGTGGCTGTAGCAATCTGAATTACACCAGCAACGAATGAGAGCTTCTGTGGCTCCACATCAGCATTTGGTATTGTCAGTGATTGGGACTTTAGACATTCTAATAACTGTGTAGCAGTATCTCATTGTTGTTGTTTAATTTGCAATTCCCTACTGATATATGATGTAAGCATTTTTTATATACTAATTTCCCATCTATCTACTTAATTAGGTGAGTTGTCTGCTCACATCTTTTGTCCATTTTTAAAAAAATTCAGTTGTTTGTTTCCTTATTGTTGAAGTTTAGTAGTTCTCCATATATTTTTGACATGTCATTTATCAGATATGTGCTCAGAAAACATTTTATCGCTGCATAAAATTTGTATTTTTATTCTTTTAACAGTGTCTTTCACAGAACAGAAGTTTTCAATTTTGTAAAATACAACTTACCAAATTTTCTTTTTTGGATCAAGCTTTGGGTGTTGTAGTTAAAAACACATCATGAAACTAAAGATTACCTAGATTTTCTACAGTTTTTTCTTCTAGAAGTTTTAGTTTTATAGTTTTGTATTTTACATTTAGATATGTTAATATGAAATGTCTATGATGAATTTTGAGTTAATTTTTGTGCAAGATATAAAGTCTGTTTCCAAGTTCTTATTTTTTCACATTTGTGTCAGCACCATTTGTTGAAAAGAGTATCTGTTCTCAATCGAATTGTCTTTGCTTCATTGTCAATATGTGTATGGGTCTATTTCAGACCTCCCAATTCTTTTCTGTTGGTCTGCCTATTCTTTCTCCGTTATCATACCACCACTTTAATTACTGTAGCTTTAAAATAATTCTTGAAAATGGGTGTATGAGTCTTTCAACTTTGTTCTTCTTTAATATTGTTTGGCTTTCCAGGTCTTTCGAATTTCCATATAAATTTTATAGTCAGTGTGTAGATATCTACAAAATAGCTCGTAAGGATTTTGTTTTGGATTTTATTGGATCTCTAGTTCAAATCTGGAAAGACATGTTAACAATATTGAATCTTTTAATCCATGAACACAGAACATCTTCTATTTATTTAGATCTTCTTTTATTTCTTCTATCAGAGTTTTGTTGTTTTTCACATAGGATCCTATACATAATTTGTTACATTTATATGTTTCATTTTTTTGGTGTTATTGTGAAATGGCATTTTTTAAACTTTCAAATTCCAACAGTGTGTTGCTGATATGTAGAAAAGCAACTGACTTTTATGTATTCAACTTTATATTATGTGAAATTTCTATTGCTTATTAGTTCCAGGAAGTTTTCTGTCTGCTGTTTGGGATTTTACACATAGATAATCATGCTATCTGCAAACAAAAACAGTTTTATTTCTTCCTTCCAAGTATGTATACTTTCTATTTCCTTGGGAAAGCATCTAGTCTCATACCATTAAATATGATGTTAGCTGTATATTTTTGGAGGTATTCTTGATCAAGTTCAGGAAGTTGCTTCTAAATTTCTATTTTACTTAGAGTTTTTATTGTGAATGGATGTTAGATTTTATCAAATGATTTTTCTGCATGAATTGAAAAAATTATATGATTTTTCCTCTTGTTCCTGTTGATAGAGTAGATCACAATGACTAAATTGCTGAACCAGCCTTCAATAACAGGAAGTTGTTGCAGTTTATAATTCTTTTTATAAATTGATAGATTCATTTGGCTAATATTTTGTTGAGGAATTTTGGATTGATGTTCATGAGAGGTATTCATCTAAGTTTTCCTTTATTGTAATGCCTTTATATAGTTTTGGTATTTGTGTAATATTAGTCTCATAGAATGAGTTAGGAATATTCCCTCTGCTTATATTTTCTGGAAGAGATTATTAAGAGAATTGGTGGAGAAGTAATAATATTTCTTTCTTCAGTGATTGGTGGAATTCACCAGTGAAACTATTTTGTCATGATCATTACTTTTTTGGAAGGTTATTAATTTCTGATGTAAATTCTTTTTTCTCTTAAACTTTTTAATATCTTTCATAGCACCTACAAGAGTGTCTTTCACCAGCTGATATTCAATTATATTTTTCATAGATCAATTTATCTAGCAGAATATAATCAACCATTTTCCTTCAAAACCTTTTTTAAATTTTCACATGGGTTTTCAAAATGATATAATATTTTTTATTTTTTACTTTTTAATAATTGACCTTTCAATTAAAAAATAAAAATTGTATATAGTTATTGTGTCAAAGATGACATTTTGAAATATGTATACATTGTGAAATGGCTAAATCCAACAAATTAACATATGAACTATTTCACATACTTATCATTTTTTGTGAAGAGAACATTTAAAATCTACTCTTGAACTCGGACAGACAGAGCAGCATGTGGAGATTCACATTATGAACTTTTGCTCCAAGAACTACCACAGGAACATACCAGGAAAGCAGAGAGAATCCACAGACCCTTTGAAGGAAGTGGATTGCTACTGCAGGCCCTTGGGGACAGCCAAAAAACTGTGAGTGCCTAAAGTGTGAAAGTACGAAAGGGGGATTGTCTGCCCCTGAACACATACCCTCACTGAGGAACCTGAAGGTCCAGATCATGGGAAAAGGATTGGACCTGGAACTGAGACAAATTTAGAGAGCTGAGCGAAATAAAAGGGTTCAAGAAGCAGTGGAAATAACCCCGTGGGCATTCTAAGTCCCCAGGGAAGCCACTTCCGGGTTTGTTTCACAAGGATCCTAGGGGAAGGCTGCCAAAGGAACTGGGAAAAGACCATAGGGATAGAGAAACTTCCAGCTGAACTTTGTAACAATTTCAAACAAATGCAAGGTTTGCTGGACAGAACCTGGTGGAGGGGGCAAATTGGGAGTGTAGACCCAGCAAAGAAGCCATGGCAGGCAGGGAGGCATGAAACATGAAAGCCCTGCTTGCTTTCTCAGCCAGGAGGCTGGTAGTCTGGGGCAAGTTCTCAGCCCTGCTCACCTGCTGCCTGGAAATAAACTCAGTGCTGTTGTTGGGTCACAGTGGGAATGAGACCGGCCTTTTGGCTGCATGGGAGCTAGGTAGGACTGTAACTGCCAGCTTTCCCCCACTTCCCTGGCAACCTGCATGAGGCAGCAGAGGCAGCCATGATCGCCCTGAAAATATAACTCCATTGGCCTGAGAATCATACCTCCATCCCCAAAGCAGCCACAACAAGCCCCACCAAGGAGACTCTGAGTTCAGACATGCCTAACCCTGCCCCCACCTGATTGTCCTTCTCTGCTTGCCCTTGTAGCTGAAGACAAAGGACATGATCTCTTGGGAGTTCTATGACCCCACCTACCCCATGATCCTCCCTATACTGCTGCAACTGATGTGCTCTTGAAAGTGCCACCTCCTGGCTGGAGGTCCACCAACACAAAAGTAGTGCAGTAAACAAACCTACAGCCATGTGGACTCACAGAGTCCATTTCACTCTCCTGCCACCTCCACTGGAGCAGGTGCTGGTATCCACAGCTGAAACGCCTAAAAATGGATCACATTACAGGACTCCATGAAGACACTCCCCAGTAGCAGCCCAGAGCCTGGTAGCTCTGCCTGGGGGCTACATCCAAAGAGAAATAACAATCACGAATGTGGCTCTCAGGAAGCCACATCTCTAGGGGAAGGGGAGAGCACCACATCAAGTGAGCATGCCGGAGGACAAAAGAATCTGAACAGCAGCCCTTTAGTCTCAGATCTTCCCTCTGACATAGTCTACCCAATGAGAAGGAACCAGAAAAACAATCCTGGTAATATGACAAAACAAGGTTCTTTAATCCCCCCAAAAATATCCCACTAGGTCACCAGCAATGGATCCAAACCAAGAAAAAAAAAACCTCAGAATTGCCAGAAAAAGAATTCAGAAGGTTAATTATTAAGCTAATCAAGGACAGACCAGACAAAGGTGAACTCCAGCTTAATGAAATCAAATTCTTCATACAAGATATGAAGTGAAAAATCTTCAGTGAAATAAATAGCATACATCAAAAACAATCATGATTTTTTGGAAATGAAGGACACACTTAGAGAAATGTAAAATATAATGGAAAGTCTCAGCAATAGAATCAAACAAGTAGAAGAAAGAACTTCAGAGCTTGGAGACAAGTCTTTTGAATTAACCCAATCTGACAAAGACAAAGACAAAAGAGTAAAAAAAAAAATGAACAAAGTCTCCAAGAAGTTTGGGATTATATTAAACAACCAAAGCTAAGAATAATTCATGGTCCCAAGGAATAATAGAAATCTAAAAGTTTGGAAAACATGATCAAGAATAATCAAGAAAAACTTCCCAGACCATGCTAGAGATCTAGACATCCAAATACAAGCAGCTCAAAGAACACCAGGGAAATTTATTGCAAAAAGATCATTGCCTAGGCACATAGTCATCAGGTTATCTAAAGTCAAGATGAAGGAAAGAATTTTAAGAGCTGTGAGGCAAAAGCATCAGGTAACATATAAAGAAAAACCTATCAGATTAACAGCAGATTTCTTAGCAGAAACCCTACAAACTAGAAGGGATTAGGGCCCTATCTTTAGGCTCCTTAAACAAAATCAGCCAAGAATTTTATATCCAACAAAACTAAGCTTCATAAATGAAGGAAAGATACCATATTTTTCACACAAACAAATGCTGAAAGAATTCACCACTACCAAGCCAGCATTACAAGAGCTGCTAAAGGGAGCTGTAAATCTTGAAATAATTCCTTGAAATACACCAAAATAGAACCTCCTTAAAACATAAATCTCACAAGACCTATAAAACAAAAACACAATAAAAAAAAAAAAACTTAAGGTATTCAGGCAGCAACTAGCATAATGAATAGAATAGTATCTCACATCTCAATACTAATATTGAATGTAAATGGCCTAAATGCTCCACTTAAAAGACAGAATGGTAGAAAGGATAAGAATTCACTAAGCAAGTATCTGCTGTCTTCTAGAGACTCACCTAACACATAAGGACTCACATAATCTCAAGGTAAAGGGGTGGGAAAAGATATTTCATGCACATGGACACCAAAAGTGAGCAGGAGTAGCTATTCTTACATCACACAAAACAAACTTTAAAGCAACAGCAAACAGAAAAGACAAAGAGGGACATTATGTACTTATAAAAGGACTTGTCCAACAGGAAAATAATCACAGTCCTAAATATATATGCACCTAACATTGGAGCTCCCAAATTTATAAAATAGTTACTATTAGACCTAAGAAATGAGGTAGATAGCAACACAATAACAGTGGAGAACTTTAATACTCCCCTGACAGCACTAGATAAGTCATCAAGAGAGAATGTTAGCAAAGAAACAATGTATTTAAATTATACCTTAGAACAAATAGACTTAACAGATATTTACAGAACATTCTACCCAACAACCGCAGAATATAAATTCTATTCATTAGCACATGGAACAGAGCATATGATAGGCCACAAAACAAGTCTCAATAAATTTAAGAAAATCAAAATTATATCAAGTACTCTCTCAAACCACAGTGGAATAAAATTGGAAATCAACGGCAAAAGGAGCCCTCAAAACCATGTAAATACATGGAAATTAAATAACCTGCCCTTAAATGATTATTGGGTGAAATGTCTGAAAGAGCACAAAAAAAAAATCTAAGGTCACACCTCAAGGAACTAGAGAAACAAGAACAAATCAAACCCCAAATCAGTGGAAGAAAGGTAATAATAAAGATCAGAGCAGAGCTAAATGCAATTGAAACAAAAAAAATACAAGAGACAAATGAAACAAAGAACTAATTCCTTCAAAACATAAATAAAATTGATAGACCATTAGCAAGATTAACCAAGAAAAGAAAAGAGAAGATTCAAATAAGCTCAATGAGAAATGAAACAGAAGATATTACAGCCAATACCACAGAAATACAAAAGATTATTCAAAGCTATGAACACCTTCATGCTCATAAACTAGAAAACCTAGAGGAGTTGGATAAATTCCTGGAAATATACAACTGTCCTAGATTAAACCAGGAAGAAATAGAAACTCTGAACTGACCAATAACCAATAACAAGCAGTGAGATACTTGCACATGCATGTTTATAGCAGCACAATTCACAATTGCAAAAATATAGAACCAGCCCATATGCTTATTAATCAATGACTGGATAAAGACATTGTGGTATGTATATACAATGGAATACTACTCAGCCATTAAAAGGAATGAAATAATGGCATTTGCAGCAACCTGGATGGAGTTGGAGACCATTACACTAAGTGAAGTAACTCACAAATGGAAAAACAAATATTGTATGTTCTCACTTATAAGTGGGAGCTAAGCTATGAGGTTGCAAAGGCATAGAATGACACAATGGACTTTGGGGACACAGGGAAACGGTGGGATGGGGGCTGGGGACTACACGTTGTGTACAGTATATAAATGAATTAATTTCTATAATCATTAGATTGGTCTTTTTGTGGTCTCTTTTCATCTGGAAACTCAAGTTGTTCAGTTCTGGAAATTTTTACTTTATTATTTTTTTGATAATTTTCATCCTTCTAATTTTAAATTTCTCTTTAAGATTCAAAAAAATTTACTTTTTTAACTTTTATTTCAGGTCCAGGGTTATATGTGCAGGTTTGTTATATAGGTAAACTCCTGTCTCAGGAGTTTGCCGTACAGATTATTTCATCACCCACCTACTAAGTCTAGTACCCAATGGTTTTGTTTTCTTTTTTTTCCTGACCCTCTCACTCCTCTCACCCTCCACTCTCAGGTAGGCCCAGTGTCTGTTGTTCCCCTCTTTGTGTCCATGTGTTCTCATCATTTAGCCATTAAAAGTAATGGCAAAGACTGCAATTACTTTTGCAGCAAAATAATAATTCTGCTTTTAGCTCTTTAAGGAGTCACCATAATGATTTATGCAATGATTGAATTAATTTACACTCCCACCAGCAGTATACAAGCATTTGTCGCTTTCTGCAACCTTGCCAGCCTCTGTGATTTTTTGACTTTTTACTAATAGCCATCCTGATTGGTGTGAGATGGCATCTCACTGTGGTTTTGATTTGCATTTCTCTAGTAATCAGTGATATTGAGCTTTTTTCATATGCTGTTGGCCACGTGTATGTCTTCTTGTGAAAAGTGTCTGCTCATATCCTTTACCTATTTTTTAATGGGCAAAGGACATGAACAGATACTTTCACTTTTTTCATTTGTTTCCTTTCTTGAAAATTTTTGTAAGTCCCCTGTAGATGCTGTATATTAGACCTTTGTCAGATACATAGTTTGCAAACATTTTCTCCCATTCTGTAGGTCATCTGTTTACTCTCTTGATGTTTATTTTGTTTCGCAGAAGCTCTTCAGTTTAATTAGATCCCTTTTGTCAATTTTTGCTTTTGTTGCAATTGCTTTTGGCATCATCGTGAAATTTTTGCCAGGTTCTATGTCCGGAATGGTATTGCCTAGGCTGTCTTCCAGGGTTTTTATAGTTTTGGGTTTTACATTTAAGTATTTAATCCATATTGAGTTGATTTTTGTATATAGTGTGAGGAAGGGGTCCAATTTCTGTCTTCTGCATGTAGTTAGCCAGTTATTTCAGAACCATTTATTGAATAGGTCCTTGAGTCCTTTCTCATTGCTTGTTTTTGTCACCTTTGTTGAAGATTAGATGGTTGTAGGTGTGTGGTCTTATTTTTAGGCTCTCTATTCTATTCCATTGGTCTATGTGTTTGTTTTCGTACCAGTACCATGATGTTTTGGTTATTATAGCCCCGTAGTATAGTCTGAAGTTGGGTAGTGTGATGCCTCCAGCTTTGTTGTTTTTGCCTTAGATTGTCTTGGCTATTCAGGTTCTTTTTTGTTGTTGTTTTTTGTTTCATGTGAATTTTGATTTTTTTTCTACTTCTGTGAAAAATGTCATTGTTAGTTTGATAGGAATAGCATTGAATCTATAAATACTTTTGAGCACTATGGCCATTTTAACAATATTGAGTCTTCCTATCCATGGGCATAGGATGTTTTTCCATTTGTTTGTGTCATCTCTTATTTCTTTGAGCAGTGTTTTATAATTTTCATTGTAGGGATCTTTCACCTCGCTGCTTAGCTGTATTTCTAGGTATTTTATTCTTTTTGTGGCAGTTGTGAATGATATAGCATTCCCGATTTGGCACTTGGCTTGGCTGTTGTTAGTGTACAGGAACGCTAGTAATTTTTTTTTTTTTTTCTTGAGATGGAGTCTCACTCTTGGAGTGCAATGGCACAATCTTGGCTCACTGCAACTTCCACCTCCCAAGTTCAAGTGACTCTCCTGCCTCAGCCTCCCAAGTAGCTAGGATTACAGGCATGCACCACGACGCCTGGCCAATTTTTTTGTCTCTTTAGTAGAGATGGAGTTTCATTGTGTTGGCCAGGCTGGTCTCGAACTCCTAACCTCAGGTGATCTGCCCGCCTCAGCCTCCCAAAGTGCTGAGATTACAGGCATGAGCCACCACGCCCAGCTGCTAGTGATTTTTGTATGTTTATTTTGTATACCGAGACTTTGCTGAAGTTGTTTATCAGCTTAAGGAACTTTTGGGCTAAGACCATGTGGTTCTCTAGATATAGAATCATGTCATCTGCAAACAGGGATAGTTTGACTTCCTCTTTTCCTATGTGGATGTCCTTTATTTCTTTCTCTTGCCTGATTGTTCTGGACAGATCTTCCAATAATAGGTTGAATAGGAGTGGTGAGAGAGGGCATTCTTGTCTTATACCAGTTTTCAAGGGGAATGCTTCCATCTTTTGCCCACTTACTATGATGTTGTCTGTGAGTTTGTCATAGATGGCTCTTATTACTTTGAGGTATGTCCCTTAATGGATATATCACTATTCTGATTATCTATTTCTCCTTATGTGATTTTTTGAGATTTGCATATTTCAAGGAATTTTTTCATTACATCTAAGCTATCATATTTGTGGGCATACAGTTGTGTTCCTTTACTATCCTTTCAATATCATTGGGATCAGCAATGATGAATTGTCTTTCATTTCTAGTACTAATAATAAAATGAAATGCGTTTTATCTCTTCTTATTAGTTAACCTGGATAGAAATTTATCAATTTTATCAATCCTTTTAAAGAACCAGGTTTAGATTCATTGACTTTCTCTACAATTTTCCTATTTAGAATTTCATTGATTTCTGTTATAATTTATATTATTTCTTCTCTTTTCCTTGTTTTAACTTAAATTGCTCTTCTTTCTGTAGTTTCCTATGGTGAAAGCTTGGCTTATGAATGTTAAATTGTCCTTCTCTTCCTGTATATGCACTTAATGCTATGACTTTCCTTCTAAGCATTGCTTTCATTGTATTCTATAAATTCTGATAAGTTGTACTTTCATTTTCATTTAGTTCAAAGTATTTTTAAAATTTCTCTTGGCACTTCTTCTTTGATAGATAAGAAATGTAAGATCTTGTGGAAAAAAAAACATAGAGATTTAGAGGGATGGCCACAAGGTAGAGATAGTATAAAATAGAAGATAGACAAAAGATGAGTGAGTGTCAACAGCAAGAGAAAAGCTGAGAGTGCTGAAGGTTGTGTTTGGGGATGGGAATGCCAGTGACCCACTAATGCAAGGATATTGATTACTCCTCAGATCCTGGGGATAATTTGGAAAACAGGAGGCATCAGGTGCTCTAATGGGTAATATCAGGGTTACCATATGTGGAGGAAAACAGAAGGACTAATTGAGAATTTATTTAAGGAGCAGTTGGATACTGATATATACCCCACTACCATAAGCAGTAACAGATTTACCCATCCCTGCCCTGGAGAATTAAGAAAAAAATGCTGGTATAAACTTAACTTACTAAGGAGGCTAACTCGGAGAAGTTTAGGATGCAGACACCAGACAGAGCTAAGAGCAAGAATGAGCCACCTTTGTGCAACAAGAGGACTGAATGAAAACGTGCATATTCAATTATTGTCTGCATGCCACAGTGCCTTAGGTGCTCAGTAAACATACGAATAAATGAGTGAGTGAACGAATGAATGATTTAACCAGTTGGTTTCTAACTATTTACAGGTTTATGAGTTTTAGATTTTACAATTGATCAAATATTTTTCTGGAAGGAAAAATTAACCTAAAAGATTAACTGTTAATTGGAGGAAAGCAAGTACAGGGGCAATATAATGAAAGCGAAATAAAAGAGCATGCCCCATGTTCTCCTCACTGGTAAAAGGACATTGTATCCCGTTGGCACTGTAACTGACTGGTACGTTTCACTGCAGAGCATGTACATTAGAGACAAGCGGATAAGCTGACTCAGCACCGGTAGCCAGTGAGACAAGCAGCAGAAGTCAATGATAATTTTAATAAAAGAGTAGTAATTTTGTTCAGACTTTTCCCAAGTCCAGAAATCATAATTAAAATTATATTTACTAGTTCAAGAAATATGCTAGTTCTTATGGCAGGATCCACACTCATATTTAGTGCAACAATTACTGAAATTCTCCTCATATGTCTATACATCTCTCAAATTAATAAAGGCCATAAGTACTTCTATAGTCATTTACATTGATCTGCACTGAACATCTTTTTAGTAGTCTAAATGTAAATCATGGCAGGTAAAATAGTATAAACAAAAGGCAGTATAAGAAAGGCCAACATTACTTATTAATATGAATGCAAAAATCTATACATAATATTAGCAAACTAGATAGAATAACGTACAAAAAGAATGATGCACCATGATCAAGTAAGCTTATTCCAGATATGTAATGTGGATTTGACATTTTAAAACATTAATTAATATTATGGACATGAACAGATTAAGGTATCAAATGTTTTGGTCATCCCAATAGGTACAGAAAAAGGTTTATAAAATATTATCTTCATTTTGAAATTAAACAGACAAAAGCAAAATAATGACTTTTAGCAAATTAGATTAAAAAATAAAGACCTTCCTTTACCAGATAAAGGATATCAACAACAAAAACTGACTTTGAGATTAAGGAACCAGATAAGGATGCCTGATTACCACTGCTATTTAAAAGTATACTAAATATTTTAGCTAGTACTATAGAGTACAAGAAGAAATTTTAAATTAATGTTGATCCGAAAGAAAAAAAAACCAAAACTATCTCTCTTACAGATTATTTGATTGCATAATAGAAAATTAAAAAGATACAGGTGAAGCATTATAATGAATAGAAGTATATAACAAGGAAACTAGATATGAAATCAATGTCCAAAAATTATTTGCATATTTACCTATTAGATAAATAAGTTTAAAAGAGATACAATTACAATGATATCAAAATTATAAAGTATCTAGGAATAAATCTAAAAATATGTGATAGATATTCATAGAAAACTTTATTAATGTTATTCAATGTTATTAAAGAAAAGTATTTACAAAAGAAGTTATATAAATGAAGAAAAGCATGTTCATAGATTGGAAGACTCAATATTTTAGAGATTCTACCTTTCCATGAATTTATCTATAGAATCATTGCAATCTTCATCAAATCTCAAGAGGTTTAATTACAATGGCTTATGTATGCACATATGCACGTATCTAAGTATGCATGTATTTAGAGTCAGAATCTCACTCTGTCACCCAGGCTGGAGTGCAGGGCAGTGGAAAGGTCATAGCTCAATGCAGCCCCCAATTCCTGTGCCTAAGGGATCTTCCACCTCAGCATCCCGAGTAGCTAGGACTACAGGCAAATGCCACCATGCCTAGCTAATTGTTTTCTTTTTAATGTAGAGAAGGGGGTCTCTCTGTGTTGTTGCCCAAGCTAGTCTTAAACTGCTGGCCTCAAGTAATCCTCTGCCTTGGGCTTCCCGAAGCACTGGGATTACAAATATGAGCCACCACATACAGTTTATGTATTTATTTAACAGGAAAATGACTAAATGTTTCCAAAATTTCTCTTTACTTCTAAAACTTCCAAATCATTGAAAAATGGGACAAGGTGGAGAGATTAACCCTATGAAACACTAAGGTTTGTTTTGAAGTGATAAAAATAGAACAGTGTGATTTTAAAATAAGTTCCAAAAGATAAGTGGAAAAGATTGTAGATCTCAGAAACGGATGAATGACAGAGGTGATATGACACATCAGTGGGGAAATGAGGTACATGTTAATAAATTGTGACAAGATAATGGCGTATCTTCAATGGGAAAAAAATGAAGTCAAACCACTTTCTCACACCATGCAACTATTTAATTCTGGATGGATTAAAAAGATAAATTTTAAAGTTCATAAATAATAGTATCAGCAATTATCAAGACTTTATATGAATGCTTTCTTAAGAAAATAAAGCAAACATTGTAAAGGTAGATATTGATAGACTTGCATATAATAAAAATTTTAAAAGTGTTTGCATCAAAATATGTCATGAAGATTGTAAAAAATGTGTGCCACCTCTTTGTCTAGAATATGTAAATGAACACATAAATTAATAAGAAAAAGGGAAAAATCCAGTTAGAAGGGAGCAAAAGATTTCAACAGCCACTGCAAAAAACAGAAAACTTAAATGGCCAGGAAACACATGAAAATATGCTAAACATCATTGGCAAGGAGGAAGACATAAATTAAACCTGCAAAAGACATCATTACAACTCTAATAGGTTGATTGTGGGCGGAGGATTACCTAGGTGCCGAGGCAAGAGACTGAAGGCACAAACTGTTTCAATATAATAAAGAAAATAGAATAACAATAGTTATAATACAAATTAGATATAGCGATGATCTTGGACAATTATCAATCATTATTATAAACATTATTAATCATTAGCTTTTAATATTACTCTTTGTTGCATTTCTAATAGAACCTAGGAATAACCGGTGGGTACAGGGTCAGGTGCTGAAGGGACACTGTGAGAAGTGACCTAGAAGGCAACAGGTGAGCCCTCTGTCACACCCACATACAGGCCGCTTGAGGGCTCCTTGGTCAAGCGGTAGCACCAGTGTCTGGGACAGCACCCGTTACTTAGCAGACCGCGAAAGGGAGTCTCCTTTCCTTGGAGGAGTCAGGGAACATTCTGCTCCACCAGCTTCTTGTGGAAGGCTGGATATTATTCAGACCTGCCCGCAGTCATCCGGAGGCCTAAACCCCTCCCTGTGGTGCTGTGCTTCAGTGGTCATGCTCCTTGTCCACTTTCATGCTCCTCCCGTACTCCCGGGTCCTCTTTGAAGTTCGTAGTAGATAGCGGTAGAAGAAATAGTGAGTCTTAAAGTCTTTGATCTTTCTTATAAGTGCAGAGAAGAAAACGCTGACATATGCTGCCTTCTCTCTCTCTCTGCTTTGACTACCTAAAAGGGAAGGACCCCTATCCTGTAATCACGTGACTTGATTCACCTTGTCAATCACTTAGAAGATTCACCCTTCTTACCCTGCCCCCTTGTCTTGTATGCAATAAATATCAGTGAGCCCAGCCATTTGGGGCCACTACTGGTCTCTGTGTCTTGATGGTAGTGGTCCCTGGGCCCAGCTGCTTTCTCTTTATCTCTTTGTCTTGTGCCTTTATTTACTACAATCTCTCCTCTCCACACATGGGGAGAACACCCACTAAGCCCTGTAGGGCTGGACCCTACAGTTGGTAAATATTAAGACATGGCATTAATCAGTATTTTCAGAAAGATAGAACCAATAAGATATTGATAGATGGATGGATGGATTAATGGATGGATGGATGAACGGATAGCTAGATGAGAGGGAATTTATTACTGGAATTGGCTCATGTGATTATGGAGGCTGAGAAGTCCTACAACAGACCAGAGTCTGCAAGTTGAAGGCCCAGGGAAGCCATTATCATGGCTCAGCGCAAGTCCAAAGTTTCAGAACGAGGGAAGCTGATGGTGTAATTTTTAGTCTCAGCGCAAAGGCCTGAAAACCCAGGGGGCTGCTGGTGAAAGCCTAGAGTCTAAAGGCTGGAGAACCTGGAGTTCTGATGTCCAAGGGCAAGAGACAAAGGCTCTCGAGCTCCAGGAGGGAGAGAGAAAGCGAATTTGCCTTTTCTTTGTCTTTTTATCTGGGACTGGAACCAACTGGATGGTGCTTATCCTCATTGAGGACAGCTCTCCCACACTCAGTTCACTGATTCACACACCAGTCTCCACTGGAAACGTTCTGAGACACACCCATAAGTAACACTTTACTAGCTACCTAGGCATCCCTTAATCAGGTCATCTTGACATATAAAATGAACTATCACAGATATCTTGTATGAAAAAGCATTAGAATGTGTAGCTATGGCAATTCCATACAGAGCAGATAAGTGTGTAAATTATCTTACTATGTTTTGTGCTGCTATCACAGAATACCTGAGACTGCATAATTTATAATGGAGATAAATTTATTGGCTCATACTTCTAGAGTCTGGGAAGTCCAAGACATGGGCCCAGCATCTGGTGAGGGCTTTTTTTGTTGTGTCATCTCATGGCAGAAGGGCAAAGAAAAAGTAAGAGGGAGAGAGAAAGGGGACCGCACTCCTCCTTTTATAAGAAACCCACTTATACTGTAACAGAACCACTCTCACAGTAACAACATTAATCCAACAATGAGAGCAGCTCTCATGACCTAATCACCTCTAAAACTCCTACCTCTTAATATTGTTACAATGGCAATTAAAATTCAACATGAGTTTTAGAGGAGACAAACACTCAAACCACAGCAATCGTGCAACTCATTTTGGCAAAAACCAACACTCACATGTTCTTAACTAAAGAAATTTCAAACCTAGGTACAGATTTTAAAGAAACTCTTGCATATGTGAGCTACAAGACCTGTATAAGAATATATAAAACAGCATCATTTGTAGCAGCCAAAATCTGAAAACAATTTAAATCTCCAACAGTAGATTAGATAAATAAATTGTGGCATACTGTAAAATGGAATATTACAAAGTAATAAAAAGATTAATAATACAGCCAAAGGCACCAAAATAGCTGAATCTTAGAAATATAATTTTCAGCAAAAACTGCAAGTAATAGAAGAATACTTATAATATGACTCTATTCATATGAATTGCGAAACAAGGTAAAATCAAATATCTCATTATTTAAATATCCATGTATAGGTTATAAAATTATATTTACAAAAAGCAAGGGAGTGCTATTGAAATGTCAAAATAGCTTAAGAGAGAGGGTGGGAAGATACAATTGGGGAAGAACATATACAGGTTGTATGCCTGGTAGTTACAAAGTCTTATTATTAAATCTTAGTAGTGATTGCACGCATACTCACATTATTATTGTTCTTTCAAATGTGTTTATAGAAATACATAAAATTTTTATTTTTTCCTGTTTCATGATGTATTTCTAATTAATAGGATCCTTATCAGACAATACAATAGGCAGTAATATTGCATGAGTGTTATTATAAAGGCATAAACAGTCTGGTGTGCTGATGAAACCATGCGCTGATTAGGATAATCAGCGAGTGAATTGAAAAAGTAGAGGAAGGGATTGGGTGTCGATTTGCCAAAAGTAGATTCTAAATAGTGTGAGGGGCTTTAGTTGCTATCCAAGAAAATGGAATCACTCTGTGATCAGATAAGAGACAGCAAAAGTTTCTAAAGAAAAATGACATATAAGAATATATGTTCATCACAAATCTTTGGGAGTATACACACACACATACACACACATGATGCCATGAGAAGGGAGTGTAGAAAGTACTTAGCTCACGGGGTGCAGGGTGTTCATAAACTGTAAGTTTTCTTTTTGGGGAAATGGAAATATATGCTTCTGCAGGTATTTGTGTTCATTTTTTGAAAAAACTACATTTTAAAAAGCCTTAAAAATAACCAGGTATTTCCAGCCAGGTGATTGGGCATACAAATGAGGAGATGAGAGAAAGTGAGTAAAACAATGTAGGTTGAGAGTCTCTCTTCATGGAGTTAAAGTGTAACTATCAGAGAATAAAATCCTTGAGGGATTTACTGTAGTTGGGAATGACAGAGGGATAAGGCAGATCTCCAGCAAAAACCTACACACATGAGAGACAGCAAAGAAAAACACATTAAGGAGCCAGAGAAAGAAGGCTGTTAATGGTATAAAAGTAACTAAAATACATTAATGCCCAGAATTCCAGGAAGAAGAAATGTCTGGGGGAAAAACCCAAAGACTTAAAATAGGCTCTTTGCAGGCTCCTTTCTGTGGAAGTGTTACCCTCTTTGGCAGAGGCCCAGCCACGGATCAAGGCAGAAAGAGACCCCTTCCCAACTGGGGCAGACCAACCCTAAGATTGACCCCTAAATCTCTAACTCTTTAAATTCATACTCCTCTTTAGTGCTCTCCTTCTGAGTGTGGGTGGGACCCTGTGACTCACTTCTCAGCAGTAGAATCTGGCAAAGGTGGATGTCATTCCATGACTACTTTGCATAATATGGTAACCTGTCTTGCTAATAGATTCTCTTATCCCTTGCCAGTTTTGATGACACAAGCTGCTATGTTGCAAGCTTCCCTAGGGAGGTGACCTAATCATAAAGAAAATCATAAGGAACAATGGGGTGGCCCCAGCCAACAGCCAAGAAGACACTCAAGTCCTTAGGCTTACAACTGACAAGGAACTATCAGCAGTCAACACTGCATGAGCTCAGAAGTAACTCACCAGTTGAGCTTTGAGATGAAATCAGTTTCTTGATCAACACATTGCTTATAGTCTTATGAGAGATAATTAATTAAAAGATCCAGCTAAGTCAGGCTTTGACAGCTGACACTGAGAAACTGTAATGAGTGTATGTCATTTTAAGCCACTAGGACTGTGATATTTTGGTACCTAACAATAGATAACAAATACCCCAGTCAAATGAACTAAGTTCACTTGGTGATAAAGGCTGCAGTGAACATCTCAATCCAATGGCTCTCATGTCCATGTCAAAGCCATCTATGTCAAATGCAAGTGAAGATGAAAAATTTATGCCAATCTTTAGCAGAGTTACTTTAGAAGGAAATAAGGACAAAATAACTTTGAAAGGAACCATGGGGAATTCCACATCCAGCATGGCAACATAAGGATCTGGGCAGACCAACTCCCCAGTGAAACTTGTGAAAAATTTTAAGAAGGCAGCTAATTTGTATTTCTGGAACATGATAGAAAATCTAATAAATCCATGTAAGTCTACTAAAATTGAATAAGAATATGAAAGTCTATGGCATTTAAGTTATAATATCCTTCCTTTCTTGTCTTCCCAGCTCAATGTAAAAGAAACTTCACTCCAGACTGGTGTAGCCAAAAACCGATGGCTCCCATTTCCCCCAGCAGCAAGTCAAGGGCTAAGATATCTTCCCAAGAGGAGTAGCACATCAGCATGTCTCATCCTGTCCCCCAGCTACTTGTAGCAGAGGCTACATTCTAGGCAATTTCAGCCAAGGTATCATGAATTCCTTCTTCCATCCAGTTGCCACTACTAGGTGTAGACTGCCTCAGACATGGAGTGCTGAGAATCCTGGGGTCCCAGTGTCATCTGGCTCATTCATAAGGCAGTGGCTTCCAGTCAGGAGAGTCAATGTGAATACAAGAACAAAAAAAAAAACAAAGAAATACAGTTAAAAGTGAGCAGGAGACTTCAATAGCCATGGCACAAAATAGAAAAGTTTGAAATGAATGAAAATAACGGCATAGCTTTTAATGTCTATAGTTTAGAAAAGAAAAAAAATTCTTAAACCAACAACCTAAACTTCTACATTAAGGCACTGGAAATAGAAACGCAAACTAACTCACTATAAAGTATGCAGAAGGAAGAAAATAATAGCATGTAAATTAATGATACATGGACGTAAAAATATAGAGAAAATAAGTAAAACCAAAAGTTATTTTTTTGTTAAGATCAACAAAATTGCCAACCTTAGGTTAACCAGGAAAAAGAGAAAAGACTCAAGTTAATATAATCAGATATGAAATGGTGGACAATACTACAAAACTTCAAGGAATAAAGAAATATTATGAAGAATTGTGCACCATTAAATTAGATAAATTAGATGAAATAGAAGTCTTCTGCTCACTTTTAACTGTATTTCTTTGTTTAATTAGATTAATTAATTTTTATCTAATTAGATAAATTAGATGAAATAGAAAAATACATAGGGCTGGGCATGGTGGCTCACGTCTGTAATCTCAGCACTTTGGGAGGCCAAGGTGGGTGGATCACCTAAGGTCAGGAGTTCGAGACCAGCCTGAACAACATGGTGAAACCCCGTCTCTACTGAAAATACAAAAATTATCTGGGTATAGTGGTGGGCACCTCTATTCCCAGCCTCCTGAGGCTGAGGCAGAAGAATCACTTGAATCCGGGAGACAGAGGTTATAGTGAGCCAAGACTGTGCCATTGCACTCCAGCCTGGGTGACAAGAGCAAAACTCCATCTCAAAAAAAAAAAAAAAAAAAAAAACCTAGGAGGACACAAACTACTTAACCTAATTCAAAGAGAATTTGAAAATTTCTATAGGCCTATAACAAGTAATGTTTAAATGAGTAATTAAAAAGCTACCCACAAATAAGCCTAGGGTCACATGGCTTTACTGATGAATTTTAACTAACATTTAAAGAATTAATATCAATTATTCTCAAGGCTCCCAAATAATAAAAGAGTATAAAAAGTGCTATCACATTCTGTGAGATCAGTATTGCCTTGATAGTAAAACCAGAAAAAGACATTGAAAGAAAAGAAAACTAGAGGCCAATATCCCTTACGTATATAACCTTTACAAAATACTTACAAACCAAATCTATTGACATATAAAAAGGATTCCACACTATGAATAAGTGAGATTTATCACAGGAATGCAAAGTTGGTTTAATATCCAAAAACCAATTAATGCAATAACCCATATCAATATAATAAAAAAGCAAAAACCATAAGCATCTCAGTATATGCAGAAAAAGCACAGATCAATCCAACACTCTTTCATAGCAAAAAGAAAAAAAAACATTAAATAAACTAGGAATAGTTGTGAGCTTCCTTAACCTGATAGGGGACATATACAAACATCCCCAGGTAACACCATGCTTAATGGTAAATAACTCAATTCTAAGACTGGAACTGTAAGATCAAGAACAAGAAAGGAATGTCCACTCTCACCATTTCTACTTAAAACTATATTGGAGAGTATAGCAAAGGCAATCAGGAAAGAAAAAGAAATAAAAGGCAACTAGAGAGGAACAGAAGAAGTAAAACCATCTCTATTTGCTACTATCTCTATTTTCTTGTATATGGAAAATCCTAAGAAATCCACTAAAAAATCATTAGAACAAATGAATATATTCAATAAGCCTAAAGGATCCAAAATCAATATACAAAAATCAATTCTATTTCTATGTACTTGTGTATTAGTCTATTCTGAGATACTATAACAAAAATACCTTTAATCAGGTGACTTATAAACAAAAGAAATTTATTTCTCACAGTTCTGGAGGCTGGGAAGTCTAAGATCAAGGCATCAGCAGATTGACTGTCTGGCAAGTGCTTGGTTCCTTATAGATAGCACCTTCTCCTCTTTTGTCCTTACATGTTGAGAGAGGTAAGATGCTCTCTTCACCCTCTTTTATACGGGCACTAATCCTATTCGGAAGGGCAGAGTCCTCGTGACCTAGTTACCTCCCAAAGGCTCTACGTCCTAAAACCATTGAGTAGCGGGATTTCAACATATTAATTTTGTGAGGGCACAAACAGTCAAGAGATGGACTCAATCTAAGTGTCCATCAGTGGAGGAATGGATAAAGAAAACATGGTATATGTGGACAATGAAAGACTGGTTGACCATAAAAAAGAATGAAATCTTATCATTTGCTACAACATGGATGAACTTGAAGGACATTATGTTAAGTGAAATAAGCCAGTAATAGAAAGAAAAATGCTACATGATTTCACTCGCATATGAAATCTTGAAAAGGTGAACTATATAAGTGGAGAGTAAAATGATGGTGACCAGGGGCTGGGGCAATGGGGAGGGATGATTGGAAAGACATTGGTCAAATAATACAAAATTTCAGCTAGATAGGAAGAATAAGTTCATGAGATCTATTGTATAACATGGTTACTAAGTTAACAACAACATACCATATTGTACTCTTGAAAAAATGCTAAAATAGTAGATTTCAAGTGTTCTTACTACAAAAATAACTGTGAGGTAATGCTTAACTAGCTTGATTCAGCCATTCATATATATATGTATATATATATATACACACATATATATGAGATAGTAAAGCATCATGTTGTACACAATAAATATATACAATTTTGCAAATTTGAAAATAAAATAAAATACTTAAAAGAAACTTTCTTTAATTTGACTGCCCTGACTTGTGTCATAGCTGCCCCCTGGGACCTCACATGACATCCAGGCTCCTCACACAGTGGTTTGGGGATCTTTTCTGATCCAGGAGACCACGGCAGTCTCAGCTCCAGCCACCAACACTGGGATCCATGGTGGCCAGAGAACTCCTTGCTGTTTCCTTTGCTTTTGGGCTCTATTCCCCGCAATCCATTCTCCTCTTCCATTCCTCCAATTCCACCCACCATTTGCCTAGAGGAGTCCTATGGAGCTCCTGAAAGCCATCTTCCAGCTCTTAAGTCATCTCCCTCTCTGTTCCCTCATGGCTTCATATCTCATTCATGTTTATTTGTGTGTTTTATCTTCAGCTCCTAACACATACTAATTCTCAATGAATATTTGTCATTGAACATTTTATTATTAGAATAAAATTGTACATTTATTTTTAAAAATAAAGCCAGTACAGTATATCAACCTTTAACTCATAGAGAACACATATTATAATGATTGTATTAGTACAAATAACCTCGAACATGCAAAATGAGTAGATAACCTAATATATATTGAATACTTCTATTTATTTAAAATATGCTTTGGCATGTGCGACTACATGTACAAAAAGATTGGCAAGGATGTTAACAGTTATTATCTTTGAGTTATGGAATTTATGAGGAATTTCTCTAGTTCCAATATTTTTGGTAAAATCTATAATTTCTGAAATGAATATAAATCGTTATTTTTAATATATTATAAAACAAATTTTGAAAAGAAACAAATGATTAGGTGATGATGATTTAAAATGTTACTTAAAAGAAATAGACCAAGCATTACTCAGCAGGATTTAGGTTCTTTTTCCTTGAACTGGACTCACAGTAAGTAGAGCATGTGCAATACTACCTATTGTCTAAGCGTTTGCATATGCATAAGTTGAATGTTCTTTCTTCGAATGCATGAAGAAATCGAAACACAGAGAAGTAAACTTGCTCAATGTCACTACACCAGTAAATTGAAAAGTCAAGACTTGTACCCTGGATGTCTGGCTCTTTCACCAACTGCACTGTCACCTCTAGAGTCACTATGCTATCTTTCTAGATTTAAAGCTTACATGTGGATAAAAGTAGACGGTTTTCTCATTGCTTTATTTTTACCTTGAAGGCAAAATATGTCAGGTGATGCATGTATAAATGAGTGGCTTGAATTAAATAAAACCCTGATTATAACAAGACAAACTATTTCCAACAGTGGCTTGTATATGTGGTTTCTATAATGGAGTAAAATATGTTGTTACAAACAAGATTTTGTTATGGTTTTGTCAGATTATCACCAATTTTCCTATGGTCTGCACAAATTATTCCTTCATTTTTAAGAATGTCTGTAACTGTTGCTGAATGTAAACTGGCTCTTTCAGTCATCTGGAAAATTTTCCCATACAATGTAAATTTAAAGTTGTATTTGACAATCAGTGGAATTGTTTTCCCTTTGCTTTAATCTAAATGAACAGTACATATAAAAGTAAAGAAACTGGCAAGCATGGATGACTATCTGTGGACCAGAATTAGGTGTTTTCATTAAATTATTAAATACCCACAATAATCCCAGAGTAGAAATTGGAAACTCTGCCTTACAGATGGGAAAGTGACTGGTTTCCATTGTTGGAAGCAAGACGGGTCAGGATGAAAATGCAGTCAGCAGTTTTCAAATATATATTAATTTTATTTTTAAAAAACTATCAACTTTATAGCACTCCAGGTTTAAGAACAACAGGTTTGAAAACTAGGCAAATGAAAGGGGGAGAGAGAGAGACAGAGAGAGAGAGAGAGAAGAGAGAGAAATCAGATAGTTGGTTACAGACTGAATTGTGCTCCCACCCAAAATTTACAAGCAGACGTACTAACCTGCACCACCTCAGGATGTGTTTGTATCTGGAGATAGGGTCTTTAAACAGGCGAGTAAGTTAAAATGAGGTCATTCGTGTGGGCCCTAATCCAATAGGACTAGTGTCCTTGTAAGAAGAAGAGACCTCAGGAATGAGCACACACAGATGAAAGGCCACATGACAGAGTGAGAAGTAGCATTTGTAAGCCAAAGAGAGGCCTCAGGAGAACCAAACCTGTCAACATTTTGATCTTGAACTTCCAGCCTCTGGAATTGTAAGAAAATGAATTTGTATTATTTATGCCACCCAGTCTGTGGCAGTTTGTCATGACCACCTTAATAAACTAATACAGATAGATAGAAAAATAGACTTTATATATATGTATGTATGTGTGTGTATATATATGTGTATATATATGAGTGTATGTGTATATGTACACATGTGTGTGAATAGATATATTTATATATATTTCTATTATTCTGGACTCTAATTGTGCAGTTCCAATTTAAAAAAAAAATAAGGTAGGCACTCAGGGAGAAGCACATTTTTATAAGCTATTTTTGCATTGCTTCTAACTGCACGAGTAATCTTTATTGATATATTGCCAGGATATAATTTTTGTCAGAGATTGATTTGTCTGGAAATAATTTAGTTTGCAGACAAATTTTACCTATCTTAGCATCATTCTGCTTGGAGTTTCATCTTCTGAAAACAAAGCTTTCATTTTGGTAGTAATGAATAACAGATGTTATTGTTAATGAGCTCTCCTTGGGACTGAAAGAGTTTCCCCTTAGCAATAACCACCACAAAGGGTAGGAGGCTCACATTATTACAATCACAGGGCTTGGTGACCAGTTAGGATCCAGCATGCATTCCAACTTTGTGAACACATTCTTGAATAACAAAAGTTCTCTTCCATGATATCATAATGCTATTTTAATATGTACATGTAATCTGCATTATTATGGAATTTTTGTTTCTTACATGAATTGTTTAGGCCTGTTCTAATAACTATTCTTTGTTCATTATGTTGCATTTTAACCTAATAATCCCATTAATGTTAATGGGAACTGCCAAGTTAAAACCCATGGAAGCAAATTAATATGCCCTGCAGTCCTTGGACATGACTTTGATACATTTTATATTATTAGTCTCATTCACAGAAGGATTTTATGTTGTTATAAATAGACATAATGAGACTGGATGCCTTCAGCAAAAGGGGAATGAGAAAGCTAGCTTGTTGGTTGTTAATTTAGGAACTGTAGAGAGCCAATCCAGAAAATTCAAAAAGAAAGTTCACAGAACATTATGGAGTGACTCAGTGCATTTGTAAAATGTCAGGCTTTCTGCCTATGATTTGGGCTGGAACTCCCACACCTCCAGAGAGTGTGACCCTCCTCTGGGTACTTTCAAAGAATGCTTGCAGCCCCACTCTGTACTAAGGTCACCATGTACTTTTCCGTTTCTCCAAATAGGATGAGAACCATTCAAAGGTCTTCATGTGATTTAATTGCTTTTATACATTATTGGATCTAGGGCTTAGCTAAGATATAGTAGGCTCCTCATGCAGGCTAAGAAGAATCTGACCTTCAGAGTGATATTTTTGAGTCTTTGATTAACAGGAATTCAGAGAACAGACTTGGGGGCTGTGGAAGCAGAGCTCGTGGTGTCCACCTCTCATCTGGTAGACCCCACACAATGCAAGCAAAATACAAGCCAGAAAGTAACTGCTTTCTCCTAAGGAGGCGCTTTAGCAACATGTGAATGTTGTCACTGGACCATGTTCTGAGCCAACTGCCTACTAATACTGCTCAAACCCACCAGCACACCTCTGGCCTTGCAGCCCATTCTGGAAAACATCACTGAGTCGTGTCTCTTCTTCTCTTTTCCTTTTTTGTTTTCATCTCTTTTCTTGTCTTCTCATGTTATTTCCCTTCATTTCCTTTTTTTTTTTATTTATTATTATACTTTAAGTTTTAGGGTACATGTGCACATTGTGCAGGTTAGTTACATACGTATACATGTGCCATGCTGGTGTGCTGCACCCACTAACTCGTCATCTAGCATTAGGTATATCTCCCAATGCTATCCCTCCCCCATCCCCCCACCCCACTACAGTCCCCATAGGTGGGAAATGAACAATGAGATCACATGGACACAGGAAGGGGAACATCACACCCTTCATTTCCTTTATTGGAAAGATGAGATAAAAAGCAGGCAAGGAAAATAAAAGGACAAGGTCTCCAGACAAAGAGGTGGTGATTCAAACACCAGACCCCGCCATGTGTGTACCACTCTGCAATGTGCTGACTGCTTCACTACTTGGTCTTATTTAACCTCCAGGAAGGAATGATTTCCCTATTTTTAACAACAAAGAGAGTAGGTATTGCTATTCGTTTCCACCTTAACCTGACACGATGAGCTGACACAGATGGTAAATTGCACCATGGCAGTAGGTTGGCAGCTCAGCAGACCCGGCTCCCAGCGGAAAACGTGAGAATTCAGGAGGAGCAAGGCTGGAAGAAGCATTGGAGCTGTTTGTGGGAGTGCTTCTCTTGTGATTTCAGAGACCAAAATAAATGCCCCTTTATCAACTAAGAGGGACTGCAAGGTTAAAGAAGCAACATTACCTATACCAATAGGTTGAGGGTTCAGGAATTGACTGACATGACAACTCCCTAAATTCCTATGGCTACAAGAAAAACCACATGCTTGCTAAACTGCCTAACAATAGGAGCTATCAGATGAATGATCAAACCTGTCTTAACGCTGAATTACAGTCCAGACCACAACAACTGCGAATGGACAGAGGACCAGCCTGACAAACACCCTTTCCTGACAGGCAGCTGCAGACTTAAGCCAGTTTCAGCCTGATTATAGAGATGGTGCACAAACTGTCTTTGTGTCCTATGGTCCATCTTTTGATGCAAACAGCCAAATTCCACTTTACTTTAAAGCTAAAACCCCATCAGAAATTGAACCTGAGATGTATATTACATACAAGTTTACTCATTGCATATGTGCTCAGCTCCCCTCATAAATTAGGCTTTTCCCTAAAGACCATGGAATATCTAAGACTCTATTGCGTGATATGGGCCCTGTGAGGCATAAAAGCCAACTGCCCTTTCCCTCCTTGAAGAGAGCAACTTTGGCATGTGTGGGAAACTATCTCTTCCTCGTTTACAAACAGTTATCACCAGGAAAACTTTCCTTTCTACTCTTTAGCCATTCTGGTATTCTTTTGGACAACACTCTTTTTTTTTTTTTTTTTTTTTGAGACGGAGTCTCGCTCTGTCGCCCGGGCTGGAATGCAGTGGCGCGATCTCAGCTTACTGCAAACTCCACCTCCCAGGTTCACGCCATTCTCCTGCCTCAGCCTCCCGAGTAGCTCCGAGTAGCTGGGACTACAGGCGCCCGCCACCACGCCCGGCTAATTTTTTTTTTTTTTTTTTTTTTGTATTTTTAGTAAAGACAGGGTTTCACCGTGTTAGCCAGGATGGTCTCGATCTCTTGACCTCATGATCCACCCGCCTCGGCCTCCCAAAGTGCTGGAGGACAACACTCTTTATCCATTAAATACTATCTAATGCATCAGTAGCCACTGACTGTCCAACACAAGTAATATGTGAATATCTCTCTAAATTTGTGAAAATAAATTCACTTTGTGGATTTTTTTTTAATTATTATTTTAAAATTACCAGCACCTGTAATCCTAGCACTTTGAGAGGCTGAGGTGGGAGGATCACTTGGGCCTAGGAGTTTGAGACCAACCTGGGCCACATGGCAAAACCCCATCTCTACAAAAAATACAAAAATTAGCCCACTTTAATGGAACATACCTGTGGTCCCAGCTACTTGGGAGGTTGAGATGGGAGGAACACTTGAGCCTGGGAGGACTTGGCTGCAGTGAGCTGTGATTGCACCATTCTACTCCAGCCTGGGCAACAGAGCAAGACCCTGCCTCAAATAAAAATAATGATAATAATGATAATAAATAAAATTAAAATTACCAATAATATATAGATAGTATTTACTATGTGCCAGGCCATATTCCAAGTTTAATATATTAATTTAATCTTTATAACAATCTTTGAGGTAAATACCATCACACAGCTATTTTACACATGCAAAACTAAAGTGTGGGGAGGTGAAGGGACTTGCCAGAAGCCATACAGCTAACAGGCAGTGGAGCTGGGTTTCAGGCCCAGGCATCCAGCCCAGAGCTGCTATTTTTTGGTGACCAGTGTGGTCCTGCCCCACACTGGAGGACTTTCCAAAGCTTGCAAACCCTGTCTAGTTTATTTCTGGTGTCTTTTTAAGAACTTACAAAAGTTGCAGTAGTTTGAATCCTTGAAAGAAAGAGATAAATTTGGGTAAAAATCATTAACCTTTATGGAAATAAATATAGGATCAAAAAACTGCACTTTTTATATACTGATATACTTGGTGTAAATGATATATATCTTCTAAGTATATATGTAATATTAATATCCACTGTGATATACATATATCTCATTACATGATGTATATTACATATAAAACACATAATCACAATCATTACAAAAATAGGTATTTTCAAAAAATAGGTAGTTTCATCTTTTTGTCTTTTAATATAAGATATTTTTACTTATAGAAAAAACATTAAAAATAATTTTTAAAAATTCTTGCTCATACAACCTAGATTTTTAAAATATTAGCATTTTACTGTATTTACTTTAGATCATTCCTTTTCTTCCTGTCTTTCTCCTTTCATCCATTTCTTCTTTCTTTACTTCCTTTTTTTTCCTTTGAAAAAATAAAATGTTGCATACACAGATGAGTTTCATCACCCAACTTATTCACCCTTTCTAGAGTTACCTGAAGGGGTGTATTTACTTTTTGGATATTTTGTTCCTTTACTGCATGTTTGTATAAGTTTAATAATATAGAATACTGTTTTGTTGTGACTTTTTGATTTTCCAAGATTGGTGTATGTGTGTTTGTCTGTATCTAAAATTCCTATTTTCCTACTTTAATTTTAATCCCCACCAGGTACACTTGGGGTCATTGTAGACATATGTCCCTACTGCAGCCATGGGTGGGCACCCAGTTTTTTAATGCATCTCACTTTCCTGCTACAAGGCTGGAAGGTCAAGCCCCTATTCCTATATAACCCACATTCTCTTCCTACTCCTGGCCCCTCATAATTCAGTAGCACTAGGTCTTCAACTCTCAAGTCTGGTTTTAAAGGACTTTATTTCTGGCACCTCAACTTCTCTTTCTTTCTCTTGAACCCAGCCATGGATTTTAGTTTTGGTTTTGTCATTAGATTTTATCCAGCATATTTATGTATTGTGAACAGGAGATATTTTGTAGTAGCTCATTTTACTATGTTACTGGAAACAAGGTCATGTTTCCATTTTTGCAGATGTAAAAATTGAGGCTTGGGGTGATTTGGCAACTTCCCTGAAGGTGTTGGAACAAGCCACACTGGCCTTTAGCACTGGAGCACAGCTCTGCCTCCAAAGTCCATGTTCTTTCCTCCCTCCCTGCACCTGTTACAAATTGCCTCATTTTAAAGGTTAAATGGTGGTAGTTTATTTCAATTCTGTCACTCTTCCCAAAGCAATACAAGTGGGAATATGTCATTTCAGCTTTCCTAACACCAATGCAGAAAACATAAATGGACACATGCCAGAGGATTATTTTATGTTAATTCCAATTTGGGGGTTTAATGATGGGGTTTTAATACTCCTCTCAAGGAGAAAAATCTGCTAAGAGACAAGTAAAGGTTGAGGATTGAAGTCCAGGACTTCTTCTGCCAGATCCCTCCACACACACTTTCTCCATCCCCAGATGCACAGTCAGAGGCACTTTCTGCCGAGACCTGCATCAGTTTCCCCATGTCCCCCATGGTTTGCTTCACACATGCTGCTGACTGCCACAGCTTCCCACACTGGAAGTGTGATTTCTGCCCAAGTGCCTACAGCTTCCTGGATTAGTCTTAGAGGGCCTTGACTCTGACTGACTTTAGCGCTCACTTAAAGCTCATGAAATGTAACCTACTTCTTTCAGTTGAAGAGTTTTCTTTGAAAAACCATCCTGAAGAAAACCCACGGGGAATGGTCAAGTGACTCAGACTTGTTTAATTTTATTTTGGTAAGCCAGAGCCAGTGCTGGTCTTTGAAAATTACAAAAACACATACATACATCCAAGGATGAAAAAAGATTCAGTTCAGATTAAGCCCAACTTTATCGATTCTCATTAATGGGTCAGGTACTGTGCTAATTAGAAATGTGCCACACACTTTTATTTGGGAGAGTGCCTTGCATGATCCTTGGAGATATTCCTCTTCTTGTTAGGACAATCAATGTCCAAGTAATTCATTCCTCCATCCAAATGCCCATCCTCCCATCTATCCCTCAAATACTTAGGGTCTACCATGTGTCAGAAAACATCTCTTAGTAACCCCTAATGTTAAGTTGTTTCCCTGGCCTACTCAGGGTCCATATCCTTCCCAAAAATCCTTCTAGAAGTTGATTTCTGTATTAGTTTTCACAGACTGCCTTTAGAAAATACCACAGACTGGGTGTTTTAAACAGCGGAAATTTATTTCTGACAGTTCTAGACACTGGAGATCCAAGACCCGGGGGTGGGCAGTGTTGGCTTCTCCTGACACCTCTCTCCTCAGCTTGCAGATGCCGTCCACTCTCTGTGTCCTCACACGGCTTTTCCTCCATGCATGCACACCCGTGATGGCTCTTTCTCTCGGAACGACAACAGTCCTATTAGATTAAGGCCCCACCTTATGACCTCATGTAACCTAAATTACCACTCTAAAGGCCTTATCTCCACACACTGTCACTTTGGAGTTCAGACTTCAGCACATGAATTTTTGGAGGAAGATAATTGAGTTCCTAAAAATAAGATTTCTATTTTTGTTTTGTCCCCTACCACAAACTGATTAGGATTCATTTTTTTAAATGTTATAGAGCTCCTTGACGTCTATGTGCCTCACTGCTTTTCATATTGGAGAGTAACTTTACACCCTAGCACTTTTACTGTGAATTCAATAAGATTTCAGTTACGATAAGAGCTTGCAGCTTCCTTGAACAGGAGAGAAGGAAAGAAATTAGTTTTAGAGGAAAAAAGAGTGTAGTTGGTCCTGAGTGTAGGCTGGCAATGGGGGTGGGGGGGTTAATAGACCATACCACACAGCACAGACAGCACAGCTCTAGAAGACATGTGCAAGGGAAGAAAACTTGTCAAAAACAGCTAAGACAGAAACAGGGAAGCCAGGACTAGCTGCCCTAGGTGTGCAGCCTCACTTGGCAGGCTGGGCTGCTGTGGAGTCAGGGAAAGACAGCATGTGAAAGGGGGCTCCTGCAGCCTCTGCTTCTGGATCATGAGTCAGCAGCATGGACTCATAATCCAAACCCAATTACAGCAAACCCCCTGTGCTTTCTGCTTGATAATTTGTTAAAAGGCTATAGATTGAGCTCTCAGCCTTGTTAACTGACCAGGTAAAAAACTGTGGCCTGCAAATATGTCTTCATCACATGCTAACTTTGGACAGAATCCATTTGAAAGTCATGGTAGTTCAGGAAAGAAAAGACTCAAGTGTACTTGGGCAGCACCTCCAAAAAAGGGAACTGGGCATCTTGTTCTGACAATCTCTTTGGCAGTGACCCAAGGACAGTGTTCAGAGGGTTTGGGAAGAGCAAGACACCAGAAAAGATAACTAAAAGAAATACAACTCTCAAAAAAAGAAAAGAGTGAGATTGTACTTGAGCTCCCAGGACTGCTGGGGATAAACCCACAGGCTCACCTGGCTCTGAAGAAAAGCAGCCAAGGCAGAGAGCGGGTGAGTGCTCTCAGAGTCCCCAAGGCCGTAGGACGGGACCATAATGATCACTTGGCTTTGGACACCCAGTCAGGCACCCTGCACATATTAAGATGACCTCTCTACTCCAACAAATGCATATGATTATTCCTAATCCCGGAATCATCCTTGCAGCTGTTTTCTAATTCCGTAAGTTTGTAAAAAATAATTCGTTTGTGCATACGCGTGTTCTTGTTCCCACAGAAGAACCAAAAAAAGAAAGAAAAAACCCTCAAACTCTTTACCACACTGAATTGCAGGCCTGCCTGAGGTCACTGAGACAATAGAAATGGGAATTAATCCAGCAGCAGAGAAAGTTGCTGGCAGCAGGCGGGATGCAGATGGAAGAGATCAGACAAGCACTGGAACCCAGAGTCAGAAGAAAGGCTCAGATAGAGAGCACAGAAGTGAGGAAGACAACCAAGGAGGAGCGGGCCTGATGAAGTGCCTGGGCAGGAGACACTCCAGCAGAACTTAAGCCCCGCCCAGAGGGTGGAAAAAGGGATGCCACGAACAAGGTGCACTCATCTCTTCCAGGTTTCCCAACAGCAAGCATTCCTCTGAGCTTAATGAATCTTTTTTAAACTTACTAAGTGTATTGAGTGTCCACTCCAGCAATCTGAGGCCATCTCAGTGGGAGTTGTAATGCCCCCACTACTTGCAGGTCTGCCCTACCAGGGGCCTGAGCTGCAAATGGGCTCCACACCAGCCTTGCTTCCAATGACAATATGCTAAGGACACCTGCAGAGAGGCCAAGTCTCCTGTCTGTCCAGCAAGAGGAAGCGCTCAGCTTCCAGAGGGTTGAATCTTTTCATCTTTTCTTTGCACCCAGCGCCTTATCTTTGCATCAACAGCAGTTAGTATTTAACACTTTGGAAAACTATAGTGCATCCCCATCCATAAGACCGTCTATGATGCGGACAACTCCCACCCACCTCCCTCACCCACCTGCTCCCTGTATGCAGAAGTTACTTAATGCATGTCAGCCAACATGACGTGCACAATTGCTGTAGGAGTCTGTTGGTGGGGCAGGGCCGCTGCTTCTGTCTAAGTAAACTTCAACTGTCTTCCAGGATTTGGATGGGTACCCCAAGGACAAAGTGCTTGACTCAGCAGGGCAGAAGGAAAGAGCATAAGTTTCAAGTTAAACATTCTTGAGTTTGAATGCCAGCAAGTTAAATATGCTCTTACCCTAAATCCATTGCGGAGGAAATTAATAATAAGGGATGTAGGGATCTGCCTCCTGGTATGTAATAAAAAGTTGCAATTGTTAACGTTTACTGCTAGCCAGTTTTCCCAAAGCTTGTATTTTGATCCTCTCAGGCAAGACACACATTGAGGTAGATGATGCTTTACTTTTGAAAATCTCTGATCCTCTCACCACCAGAGTGGGCTGCCTATGACATAAAAAACCATATAGAAAGAGCTACATAAACACATATACACAGATCTCCTCACACTCCGATCTATATACACAGACTTCATACACACATCCATGTACACAGACCTCCTCACACTCACATCCATGTACACCTCCTCACACACACATCAATATACACAGACCTCCTTACACTCAGATCCATATACACAGACCTCCTCACACACACATCAATATACACAGACCTCCTTACACTCAGATCCATATACACAGACCTCCTCACACACACATCAATATACACAGACCTCCTTACACTCAGATCCATATACACAGACCTCCTCACACACACATCAACATACACAGACCTCCTTACACTCAGATCCATATACACAGACCTCCTCACACTCACATCCATATACACAGACCTCCTCACACTCACATCCATGTACACAGACCTCCTCACACAAGATTCATATACACAGACCTCCTCACACTCACATCCATATACACAGACCTCCTCACACACACATCAATATACACAGACCTCCTCACTCAGATCCATATACACAGACCTCCTCACACACACATCCATATACACAGACCTCCTCACACTCACATCCATGTACACAGACCTCCTCACACAAGATTCATATACACAGACCTCCTCACACTCACATCCATATACACAGACCTCCTCACACACACATCAATATACACAGACCTCCTTACACTCAGATCCATATACACAGACCTCTTCACACTCAGATCCCTATACACAGACCTCCTTACACACTTATCCATATGCAGCAACCTGCTCCCACGCAGGCAGAATGGGTCACACCTTTTCACACCTCCATTGGAGATGGCCCATAGCCCTTATCCCACCTAAGGCTAACATCAGGATCCAAGTTCCTGAAGTTGCAGCACCTCATTCTCTAAAGTGATTATG